>NC_000012.12:31970894-32123589 GCF_000001405.40 Homo sapiens
TCCAACTTGTAGCGGACTCCAGAACACTTTGAACTCTGTTGGTATGTCTTCCCAGATTGATCCTCACATTTGGCCTCCAGTAAACCTTTATCAGATTATTTCTACCTCAAGAACCTTCGTTTTAGACAACAGTGCATATATGTTTGTAATTGTTACCTTGATGGGTTGATCCTTTTATCATTATAAAATGCATCTCTTTATCAGCATTTTTTGTCTTAGTCTGTTTTGTCTGATACTAGTATAGGCATTCCTGCTTTCTTTTTTTGAGACGGAGTTTCACTCTTGTTGCCCAGGCTGGAGTGCAGTGGCACAATCTCAGCTCACTGCAGCCTCCGCCTCCCGGATTCAAGTGATTCTCCTGCCTCATCCTCCCAGGTAGCAGGGATTACAGGCATGTACCACTATACCTGGCTAATTTTTTGTATTTGGTGGAGACGGGGTTTCACCAGGTTGGTCAGGCTGGTATTGAATTCCTGATCTCAGGTAATCCACCCACCTCGGCCTCCCAAAGTTCTGGGATTATAGGTGTGAGCCACTGTGCCTGGCCTGCATTCCAGCTTTCTTGTAGCTATTTGTGTGATACTTTTTCATCATTTTACTTTCAGTCTGTGTTTTTGGATCTAAGGTATATCTCTTGGAAACAATAACATATAGTTGGATAGTTTTTAAAATCCAGACTGACATTCTCTGTCTTTTGGATTGTGATATTATGAAATATATCTCTGGTCTTTATCCCTGTTTTCAGGCATACACTCCTAAAATTCGAGCAGTCTCCAAAGTGATAAATGTCTTTTTTGTATGCTAATGAGTTGACTTATGGCTGACATCCCCTAGTTTCAGAATGGAGGGCTGGTCACCTGAAAGACCAAGGCCCGATTAAAGGGTTGGGACTTTTCAGCCCTACCCCTAATTCCTGGTACCAATTGTCTATCTTAGTCCATTTTCTGTTACTTATAGCAGAATAACTGAAACAGGGGCCTTTATGAAGAAAAGGAATTCATTTCTTACACCTTTGAAGGTGCACCTGGTTGAGAGGGAGGGGGTGAGGTTAAGTTGATCACCAATAGCCAATGGTTTAATTAATCAGATCTGTGCAATGAAGCCTCCATAAAACCGGAAAGGATAGAGTTTAGAAGGCTTTTCAGGTTGCTGAGCAGGTGGAGGTTCCTAGAGGGTGGCGTACCCAGGGAGGGCATGGAAATGCTGTGCCCCTTCTCATGTGACCTTGCCTTCTACATCTCTTGAACTGAATCCTTGGTAATATACTTTATAATAAACTGATAAGGTGTTTCCCTGAGTTCTGTGAGCTGCTCTAACACGACAAACCAAAGGAGCGGGACATGGGAATCCCAGTTTACAGCTGGTCGGTCGGAAGCACAGGTAAAATAACCTGGGACTTGGTGTTGGCATCAGAAGTGGGGGGCAGTCTCGGCTGGGCGCAGTGGCTCACGCCTGTAATCCCAGCACTTTGGGAGGCCGAGGTGGGTGGATCACGAGGTCAGGAGATCGAGACCATCCTGGCTAACATGGTGAAACCCTGTCTCTACTAAAAATACAAAAAATTAGCCAGGCGTGGTGGTGGGCACCGGTAGTTCCAGCTACTCAGGAGGCTGAGGCAGGAGAATGGCGTGAACCTGGGAGGCGGAGCTCGCAGTGAGCCAAGATGGTGCCACTGCACTCCAGCCTGGGTGACAGAGTGAGACTCCGTCTCAAAAAAAAAAAAAAAAAAAAGTGGGGGCAGTCTTGCAGGACTGAGCCCTAAACTGATGAGATCTGACACTATCTTCATATAGATAGTCTTGGAATTAAAATGAATTAGAGGACACCCACCTGGTGTGTACACTGCAGAACTGATTGCTTGTTATGTGGGGTGAGACACCCACACATCTGGTGTCAGAAGTGTGAGAAAGTTTATTCCTACATTCTCAGAATTGTTTATATAAAAATGTTATTTTTTATATAATTACATTTACCTCTAATGTTTTACTTTTTGTTTTTATGTCTCGTCTTTTTATTCCTTTCTTATTCCTTAGTGGGGTTTATTTTGCATAAATGAGTATTTTCTAATGTAGCATTTTAATTTCTCTTTGTTTTTTCTGTTTTTAATTTCTTTAACGATATTTTCACTGTATTTTTTGTAACTTCATGGAAGCACAAATTCTTTTTAAAAGTATTTTTTATATTAAACTATCAGTGATGGAGGCTGGCAGAGATCTTGGGGCGAGAATTTATTCTCTCAGAGAAATGGTAGTGATGGACCATGGAAACTTGTCTATGGTAATCTGTGTTAGAATATATTCTTGAAAGTTCTAAGAATACATTATATCCACAAGTAGATTATGCCATCCTAGAGACTGCAGCTGACCCTTGAACAATGTGAGTTTGACCCATGTGGATCCACATACACATGGATTTGACTTTTTTTTTTTTAAGAGATGAGGTCACTCTCTGTTGCCCAGGCTGGAGTGCAGTGTACAGTCATAGCACATTACAGCCTCAAACATCTGGGCTCAAACAGTCCTCCCATCTCTGCCTCCTGAGTATCTGGGACTGCATCCACACACTACCTTGTCTGGCTACACTTGGAGTTTCTTCTGCATCTGCCACTCTACTGCCACCCTAAGTCGTAATCCCTATGTTGTTCAAGGGTCGATTGTATTTTCCTTTCACAGTCTATTTGTGTAGCTAGTAGGCAATCTTCCAAAAACTTCAATTTAGGTCGTTCCGGAGTGCTTTTCGAGTTTTCAGTTTTCTTCTATGCCAGTGAAGGAGAGGGATGGAGGAAAAAAAAAAAACCAAATTAACATAAAGATAGTTTCCCTTCCTACCCATATGCTCTGTATTAATTGCTAGGGCTGTGTTTGAGATAGGAAAACCAAAACTTCTTCACACAACTGACCACTTCATCTCTGGTCACCAGAATGTATTTGGATTTCTTCCCATCCGCAAACTGTTTTCCAGCTGACAACAACTGGGTGTCCTACAATTCAATTACATGTTGGCATCATCTACCTGGAGAAAGCTTCAGATCCCACAGGTTGAGGACTCAGTCCCACAAGACTGCCCCTGACTTCGCCAGACCTGTACTTTTGACCAACCTGTTACAAAGAGGGGATTGTCAAGACTCCCTCCGTGGATTTGATTAATTTGCTAGAGCTCACAGAACTCAGGGAAATAGTTTACTTATTATAAAGCCTATTAGATGAAGAGCCAGGTGGAAGAGATGCATGGGGGAATGCATATGTGAGCGCTTCCATGCCCTCTCCAGGTGCTGCCCCACCCTACGGTCACCTCTATGTTACCAGACACTCCTGTTACTCAGGAGATTACAAAGGTCTCAGGAGCTCTGTGTCAGGAACCGGGTTCAAAGACCACGTATTAGTGCAAAAGATTGTATACCCCAATCTACAAGAGTTTTAGGTGCCCCGTGTCTGGAATCATGGGCAGAGACCAAGTATGTATTTCTTATCGTGGGCTACTATGACAGTAATGCCACAGACTGGGTGGAGAAATTTATTTCTCCCAGTTCCGGCGGCTAGAAGTCCAGGGTCAATATGTTTGATTTCTGTTCTCTTGAAGCTTCTCTCTCAGTGGCTTGCAGGTGACTGTCTTCTTGCTGTGTCCTAACGTGGTCCTTCCTCTGTGGGCCGACATCGCTGGTGTCCCTCTTCCTATGGGGGATACTAGTCGGATTAGAGCCCCACTCTAATGACCTCACTTAACCAATTATCTCCTTAAAGGCCCTATCTCCAAATACACTGAGGGTCAGGGCTTTCACTTATGAATTTTGGGGAGGGTACAATTCAGTTCATGAGACTCTCTCCTCCAAGTTGACGTAAAAGCCAGGGGACAGTGAGGGGGACGGGCAGTTATGAAGCATCATTAATTCTCCTTAGAAGTGCTGCTTTTCTTCTGTCAGTGAACACTGTGACCCATTCTGCTTCCAACCTTGTGGACTAGTCAAAGTAGTGAGAGGAACAGAGTCCTAACGCCTGAGAGTTGTAAAATGAGTGTCAGCATGTGGTGGCTGCCTTTTTTTTTTTTTTTTAACGGATAGACTTTATTTTCTAGAAGAGTTTTAGGTTTAAAGAAAATTGAGGTCAGGCATGGTGGTTCACGCCTGTAATCCCAGCACTTTGGGAGGCCAAGGCAGGCAGATCATGAGGTCAGGAGTTTGAGACCATCTTGGCCAACATGGTGAAACCCCATCTCTAGCAAAAATATAAAAAATGAGTCAGGCATGGTGGCGCGCGCCTGTAGTCCCAGCTACTCGGGAGGCTGAGGCAGGAGAATTGCTTGAACCCGGGAGGTGGAGGTTGCAGATCGTGCCACTGCACTCCAGCCTGGGCGACAGAGCGAGACTCCATCTGAAAAAAAAAGAAAAAGAAAACTGAGCTTATAGTACAGAGCATTCCCATATAAGAGCTTTATAGGAACCTCCCATCTCCAAAACTCTAAGGTTCCACTATTAGCAACTTGGATTAGTCATACTGATATGTTATTATTAAAGTCCATCACTAACATTAGAGTTTACTCTGTATCCAATGGGTCTTACGGGTTTTGATAAATGCTTAATAGTATGCATCTACTATTATAAGAGAGCTTTAAAAAATAACTTTATGAAATCAAAACATACCTAAGAAAGGGTACAAATGGTAAGTGTATAATGCAGTGGATTATGTAGGGAACACACTTGTGTGTAAGTATCACCCTGGTCAAAAGCAGTCTTCATGCTACTTAACTACCAATTGCTATTCCATCACACTTTGTAAAAAGTACCACTACAGTCCCTAGATGGTTGGTTTTGTCTGTGTTTCAATCTTTATATAAATGGAATCATGGATTATTCTTTAATCTCTGGCCTTTTTCACTCAGTCTTGTGTTTGTTAGATTCATGTTGCATATAGCCTTTTATTTTTGTTACTATAGTGTTTCATTAATATGAATACATTTCTATTTTGTTTGTTTCCAGTTTTTGCTTACTGCACCTAATGCTGCTGGCAGTGTTATAATTATGCATTTCTGTTTGGTACATACCTAGGAATGAAACTTCTAGGTCTCAGGGCTTGCATTTATTAACCCTTGGTAGATGATGCCATACGTCTTTCCAAAGTGTTGGTTACTTTAAGGATCATGATATACTCCTATCACCATTGTAGGAGAGTTCCATTTGTTCCATTTTCTTGCCAACATGTGGTATTGAGAGTTGAAAAAATTCTAGCCATTGTGTATAGTATTACCACCTTATGGTTTTCATTTACATTTCTGATATTCATAATGGATTTAGCACTTACCAAAAATTTTGCCATTTAAATATAGTTGACCATTGAATAACATAGGAATTAGGATAACTGACTCTTGTGCAGTAAAAAAAATCCACATTTAACTTTTGACTCCGCCAAAACTTGATTAACAATAGCATGCTGTTCAGTGGAAGCCTTAACAGTAACATTAAACAGTTGATAAACACATATTTTGTATGTTACATGTATTATATGCTGTATTCTTAGAATAAGCTTGAGAAAAGGAAATTTTATTAAGAAAATCATAAGGGATTGGGTGCGGCGGATCACAAGGTCAGGAGTTCGAGACCAGCCTGGCCAACATGGTGAAACCCTGTCTCTACTAAAAATACAAAATTAGCCTGGCATGGTGGTGGGACCCTGTAATCCCTGCTGCTCGGGAGGCTGAGACAGGAGAATCACTTGAACCCAGGAGGCAGAGGTTGCAGTGAGCCGAGATCGCACCACTGCACTCCAGTCTGGGTGACAGAGCGAGACTCCATCTCAAAAAAAAACCAAAATCATAAGAGAATATATTTACTATTCATTAAGTGGAAATGGATCATCATAAAGGTGTTTATCCTCATCACATTTATCTTAACTAGGCGGAGGAGGAGGGAAGAGAAGGGGTTGGTCTTGCTGTCTCCAGGGTAGCATAGACAAAAGAAAATCCACGTATAAGTGGACCCACGCACTTCAAAGCCACGTTCAAGGATCAACTGTAGTGTCTCATACAGTGTTTAATTAAGCTTCATGCTTATTTTTTATTGAGTTGTCTACATTTTTCTTTTTACGTAATTCCCTATATAGGCTGGATATGATCTCTTTGCTATGTATTGCGAATATAATCTTCTAGAGAGTGACTTTACTTTTTCACTTCCTTAATGGTGTTTTTTGATAAACAGTGGTGATTAATTTTGATGCAGTCCGTTTTATGGACCTTTTTTCTTATTGTTCATTGTGCCCTGTTATAGGAACCTTCCCCTATCCCGAGGGCATAAAGATATTCTCATGTTTTTTTGAGATGGAGTTTCGCTTTTGTTGCCCAGGCTTGAGTGCGGTGGTGCGACCTCGGCTCACTGCAACCTCCGCCTCCCTGGTTCAAGGGATTGTCCTACCTCAGCCTCACGAGTAGCTGGGATTACAGGTGTGTGCCACCACATCCGGCTAATTTTTGCATTTTTAGTAGAGACGGGGGCTTCACCATCCATGTTGGTCAGGTTGGTCTCAAACTTCTGACCTCAGGTGATCTGCCCGCCTCGGCCTCCCAAAGTGCTGGGATTTACAGGCGTGGGCCACCATGCCTGGCCTGTTTCTGGAAACTTTAAAACGATAATCTACCTGGGATTGATTTGTTTGTATATGTCTCTTGCTGTGTAATTGGATAAGGCTTATTTTCATTCGTGGCATATAGATAACCAATTGACCTAGCTTCATGTATTGAAAAGAACTTTTTTCCTAACTTTGTCATAAAACAAGTGTCTATATATAAAAGTGTGTGTATGTCTTCGCTATTCATGCTTGTTTTGCATTTCCATGGAAAGTTTATAATCAAGCTTGTTACCCCAAAAAATCAAAAAATCCACTGGGATTGTATTGACTCTTAATTACTTTTTCTTTCTTTCTTTTTTTTTTTTTTTTTTTTTGAGACAAGAGCTCATTCTGCTGCCCAGGCTGGAGTGCAAATGGTGCAATCTCAGCTCACTGCAACCTCCACCTCCCAGGCTCAAGTAATCCTCCCACCTCAGCCTTCCAAGTAGCTGGGACAACAGGTGTGCACACCTGGCTAATTTTTTTTTTGTATTTTTGGTAGAGACAGGATTTCACCATGTTGTTCAGGCTGGTCTTGAACTTCTGACCTCAAGCAGTCGCCCAGCTCAGCCTCCCAAAGTGCTGGGATTACAGGCAAGAGCCACTGCGCTTGACCTAAATTTTGAGATTATTGGCATCTTTAATGCTGTCTTCAAATATTTGAACATGGCATATCTTTACACTCAGCTGTTTGTTAGAGATGTGACACATCCTTCATTTTCTAAGTATTTTTTTAATGGTATTTTAAAAGATTACTGCTGATAATATTCTTGCATTTTGACCTTATTTTTGGGCATTGTAATAAACAGTAAAACAAAAAGATCTCTACATAGTTTTGGATTTTCTGTATAACATCTGATACTCAGTTTTGTGTTTTCCTCTCTGCTTATACTCCTAATATTTTTTTCTTTATACCAGCTAGGATCTCCAGTAAAATGATTAATGGAGGGATAGTGGCATCTTCCATGTTACTATTTAATTGTTTTAGCTACCATTTATCAAAAGAAGTTTCCATCTTTATAATTTTTTAAATATGTAGGTATTTGGGGTTTTTTTTTGTTTTTTGTTTTTTGTTTTGAGACGGGCTCTCGCTCTGTCGCCAGGCTGGAGTGTAGTGGCGCAATCTCAGCTCATTGCAACCTCCACCTCCTGGGTTCAAGTGATTCTCCTGCCTCAGCCTCCTGAGTAGCTGGGACTACAGGTGCCCGCCACCACACCCAGCTAATTTTTTTTTTTTTTTTTTTTTGTATATTTAGTAGAGGCCGGGGTTTCACCGTGTTGGCCAGGATGGTCTCCATCTCCTGACCTCGTGATACCCCTGCCTCAGCCTCCCAAAGTGCTGCGATTACAGGATTACAGGTGTGAGGCACTGTGCCCGGCAGTATTTGATTTTGTCAGAAATTCTTATCTTAGATTTTTGAAATGATCTCATGATTTTTTTTTTTTTTTTTGAAACGGAGTCTAGCTCTGTCACCCAGGCTGGAGTGCAGTGGCGCCATCTGGGCTCACTGCAAGCTCCGCCTACCGGGTTCTCACCATTCTCCTGCCTCAGCCTTCTGAGTAGCTGGGACTACAGGCACCTGCCACCACACCTGGCTAATTTTTTGTATTTTTAGTAGAGACGGGGTTTCACTGTGTTAGCCAGGATGGTCTCGATCTCCTGACCTCATGATCCGCCCACCTTGGCCTCCCAAAATGCTGGGATTACAGGCGTGAGCCACTGCACCTGGCCCCACAGTACTTCTGACACCAGATGTGTGGGAATTTTTTCCCAACTGACCAATTCTCTCCACATACCAACTGGGTGGCTTGTGATTTGATTCAGTTCTGACACTGTCTACCTGATGTTACCATCAGAACCCACAAGTTAAAGGGCTCAGTCCTACAAGACTGCCCCCACTTGAAGCTAGTCACAAGTCCAGGTTTGTACTTCTGACCAACTGGCTATAAAGCAAACAAGGTATGCTTTCTCTGAGGTCACTACCTTCCCAGCACTTCAGTGTGTTCTGTTCACCAGCCCAGAAGCTCGGCTCATCACATCTCAATGTTCAAGAGTTTTGTTTTTTAAAAAAAACAGCCTTACTCTGTCACCCAGGCTGGAGTGGAGTGGTGCCACCATGGCTCACTGCAGCCTCAACCCCCAGGCTCAGATGATCCTCCCTACACTGCCTTCTGTTTTCTGAGTAGGTGGCTGGGACTACGGGCATGCACCACCATGACGGGGTAATTTTTTTTTTTTTTTAATTTTCAGTAGAGACAGGGTTTCACTATGTTTCCCAGGCTGGTCTTGAACTCCTGGGCTCAAGAGATCTTCCTGCCTCAGCCTCACAGACTGCTGGGATTACAGGCATGAGCCACCACACCCAGCCAAGACTTTTTATAGAGTCCAATCTCCAGCTCCCCCCACCACTTTATGGAGGTCAGTGGTTAGAACTAAAAGTTCCAACCGTCTAATACTTGGTTTTCCTGGTGACCACCAGCTGTATCCTGATGGTATCTAGGGGCCCCCACTTTAAGTCACCTTAGTAGCATAGACTCAGGTATGTGCATACAGAGTTCATTATGAATAACAAAAGATATTTATGAATTAGTGTTTGCTTATGCCAGAAATTTTCTTTTCCTTTTTTTTTTTTTTTTTTTTGAAACAGAGTCTTCACTCTGTCACCCAGACTAGAGTGCAGTGGTGTGATCTTGGCTTACTGTATCCTCCACCTCCCAGGTTCAAGTGATTCTTGTGCATCAGCCTCCTGAGTAGCTGGGATTACAGGTGTGCACCACCACACCCCGCTAATTTTTGTATTTTTAGTAAAGATGGGGTTTGGCATGTTAGCCAGGCTGGTCTCAAACTCTTGGCCTCAGGTGATCCACCTGCCTCTGCCTCCCAAAGTGCTAGGATTACAGGCATGAGCCACCGCACCCGGCCTTATGCCAGAAATTTACTGAGTTCATTAAGGTAACCTTGAATAGCCCTGGGGAGTTTAGACTTTGCGAATGAACAATGAGAATGTTTTTAACCATATGTTTGAACTTCCCTTTTTTTTTAAATTCTCATTTTTATTGTCATGTTAGCTTTTTTAAAAAATGCAGTTAGCATGGATTACTTAGAAGAAAGTCTGTTAAAAATAAGTAAAAACAGAAGGTGATTGGCATTTAAATGTAACAAAAAGCTAGCTGTCATTGTGTGGAATGAATTTCTGTTAAACACGTTAGAAATTTCATTGACACTTGCCTTATTTATTGTTGTATCCTCTATTGCTCCTCTTCTTCCCAAATTAAAGATGAGGCTGCTCTGAAGATTCAGTAATTAGGATGGACAGTCAGCTACTAATTTTCTTAGATATTCTATCTAGGCAAAACAGCATTTTAATAAAATATCTTTATTTCTTACAGATTCCTGACATTCAGACAACTGACTTGTAACTGACTTATAACTGACTTGTAATACACTGCTACTATATCAAACCGACAATGAATTGGAATGAAAAACCAAAGAGTGCTACATTACCACCACTGTATCCTAAAAGCCAGCCACCTTTTTTGCACCAGTCTTTAATAAACCAAATTACCACAACATCTCAGAGTTCTTTCAGCTATCCTGGAAGTAACCAAGAAGCATGCATGTATCCCGGTAATTCAAATCCAATTTCACAGCCACTGCTGAATATCCAAAATTATCCTCAACAAATTTCTGTTTCTGATATGCATAATGGGACAGTTGTGGCCTCACACACTTCAGTAGAAAGAATAACATATGCAAATGTTAATGGACCCAAACAACTAACTCACAATTTGCAGATGTCTTCAGGAGTTACCCAAAACGTATGGTTGAACTCACCAATGAGGAATCCTGTGCATTCTCATATAGGGGCAACTGTATCTCATCAAACTGATTTTGGAGCTAACGTACCCAATATGCCGGCACTACAGAGTCAACTGATAACATCAGATACCTATTCTATGCAAATGCAGATGATCCCTTCTAATTCTACACGACTTCCTGTAGCTTACCAAGGAAATCAGGGACTTAACCAGTCTTTTTCAGAGCAACAGGTTGATTGGACACAACAGTGTATATCTAAGGGACTGACTTACCCAGATTACAGACCACCTCCAAAGCTATACCGTTACTCACCACAAAGCTTTTTACCAGATTCTACCATTCAAAAACAAAACTTTATACCACATACATCATTGCAAGTTAAAAATAGTCAGCTTCTAAATTCTGTATTAACTTTACCATCAAGGCAGACCTCAGCTGTACCATCACAGCAGTATGCCACGCAAACTGACAAAAGACCTCCTCCTCCTCCTTACAACTGTAGATATGGAAGCCAGCCTTTGCAAAGTACTCAGCATATTACTAAACACTTGTCTATGGAAGTTCCTCAGAGTCGAGAAATGCTGTCATCTGAAATAAGGACCAGCTTTCAACAGCAGTGGCAAAACCCTAATGAAAATGTCAGCACAATTGGAAATTTCACTAACTTGAAAGTAAATACCAACAGCAAACAGCCTTTTAACAGTCCCATTAGATCTTCTGTGGATGGTGTTCAGACTCTTGCTCAAACTAATGAAGAGAAAATAATGGATTCTTGCAATCCAACTTCAAATCAAGTACTGGACACAAGTGTTGCAAAAGAAAAGCTAGTAAGGGATATTAAAACATTAGTAGAGATAAAACAGAAGTTTTCAGAACTTGCAAGGAAAATTAAAATCAATAAAGATCTTTTGATGGCAGCAGGTTGTATTAAAATGACTAATACTTCTTATAGTGAACCAGCTCAGAATTCTAAATTGTCTCTAAAACAAACTGCCAAAATCCAGTCTGGACCCCAGATAACTCCAGTAATGCCAGAGAATGCAGAGAGACAAACACCAACAGTAGTGGAATCTGCAGAAACAAATAAGACTCAATGTATGTTGAATTCTGACATTCAGGAAGTCAATTGCAGAAGGTTTAACCAAGTTGATTCTGTTTTACCAAATCCTGTCTATTCTGAAAAGCGGCCAATGCCAGACTCATCTCATGATGTGAAAGTTCTCACTTCAAAGACATCAGCTGTTGAGATGACCCAGGCAGTATTGAATACTCAGCTTTCATCAGAAAATGTTACCAAAGTTGAGCAAAATTCACCAGCAGTTTGTGAAACAATTTCTGTTCCCAAGTCCATGTCCACTGAGGAATATAAATCAAAAATTCAAAATGAAAATATGCTACTTCTCGCTTTGCTTTCACAGGCACGTAAGACTCAGAAGACAGTATTAAAAGATGCTAATCAAACTATTCAGGATTCTAAACCAGACAGTTGTGAAATGAATCCAAATACCCAAATGACTGGTAACCAACTGAATTTGAAGAACATGGAAACTCCAAGTACTTCTAATGTAAGTGGCAGGGTTTTGGACAACTCCTTTTGCAGTGGACAAGAATCCTCAACAAAAGGAATGCCTGCTAAAAGTGACAGTAGCTGTTCCATGGAAGTGCTAGCAACCTGTCTTTCCCTGTGGAAAAAGCAACCTTCAGATACTGCAAAAGAAAAGGAGTGTGATAAACTCAGAACAAACACAACAGCAGTTGGAATTTCAAAGCCTGCTAACATCCACGTTAAGAGTCCTTGTTCAGTTGTGGGAAATTCAAATTCTCAGAATAAAATAAGTAATCCCTCACAGCAGACAGCTTTGTCGATGGTAATGCACAATTATGAGTCTTCAGGTATAAATATAACAAAGGGAACAGAACTTCAGATAGCTGTAGTGTCACCGTTAGTTCTGTCAGAGGTCAAAACATTGTCTGTCAAAGGAATAACACCTGCAGTGTTACCTGAAACAGTGTATCCCGTTATTAAAGAAGGCAGTGTTTGTAGTTTACAAAATCAATTGGCAGAAAATGCAAAGGCAACTGCTGCTTTGAAAGTTGATGTTAGTGGACCAGTAGCAAGTACAGCAACATCAACCAAGATTTTTCCACTAACTCAGAAGGAAAAGCAGAATGAGTCAACTAATGGTAATTCAGAAGTCACACCTAATGTCAATCAAGGAAAGCATAACAAATTAGAGTCAGCTATCCATTCTCCTATGAACGATCAGCAAATCTCACAGGAGTCAAGGAATAGTACTGTTGTGAGTAGTGATACATTACAGATTGACAATATTTGTTCTCTGGTTGAAGGTGATACCTCTTACAATTCCCAAATAGCAAAGATATTCAGCTCTCTTCCCTTGAAAATGGTTGAGCCACAGAAACCTTCTCTACCCAATCAGCAAGGGATTGGCAGCAGAGAACCAGAAAAACAATTAGATAATACCACTGAAAATAAAGACTTTGGTTTTCAAAAAGATAAACCTGTACAGTGCACAGATGTTTCACATAAAATATGTGATCAGTCAAAGTCAGAGCCACCCTTAGAGTCATCTTTTAACAATCTTGAAACAAACAGAGTTATTCTAGAGAAAAGTAGTTTGGAGCATGCCACTGAAAAAAGCACAGCTAACGATACGTGCTCGTCAGCTGCTATTCAGGAGGATATTTACCCTCAGGAAATAGATGCATCCAGCAACTATACTCCCCAAGATCCTGCAAGAAATGAAATCCACAGTGATAAGGCACCTGTCTTATACCTACATGACCAGCTGTCAGAACTTCTAAAAGAGTTTCCTTATGGCATTGAGGCTGTGAATACACGTGAAGGTTCTGTGGGCCAGCAAACTACATACCAGACCTCAGAAGATCAAACTGCTGATAAAACCAGTTCTGACTCCAAAGACCCAGCAGATCAAATACAAATTACAATATTAAGCTCAGAGCAAATGAAAGAAATATTTCCTGAACAGGATGATCAACCCTATGTAGTAGACAAGTTGGCAGAACCTCAGAAAGAAGAGCCCATCACAGAAGTAGTTAGCCAGTGTGACCTGCAGGCACCTGCAGCTGGACAAAGTCGTGATTCTGTGATACTGGACTCTGAGAAAGATGATATCCACTGCTGTGCATTGGGCTGGCTCTCCATGGTTTACGAAGGAGTACCCCAGTGTCAGTGTAATTCCATCAAGAACTCATCTTCAGAGGAAGAGAAACAAAAAGAGCAGTGTTCTCCTTTGGATACCAACAGTTGTAAACAAGGAGAGAGAACTTCTGATAGAGATGTCACTGTTGTTCAATTTAAGAGCCTTGTAAATAATCCAAAGACTCCTCCAGATGGGAAAAGTCATTTTCCTGAACTACAAGACGACAGTAGAAAAGATACACCCAAAACAAAACATAAAAGCTTACCAAGGACAGAACAAGAATTAGTTGCTGGTCAGTTTTCATCTAAATGTGATAAACTAAATCCCTTGCAAAATCACAAAAGAAAAAAATTGAGGTTTCACGAGGTAACCTTTCACTCCAGTAATAAAATGACAGCATCTTATGAACAAGCTTCTCAGGAAACCCGACAGAAGAAACATGTAACACAGAACTCACGTCCACTAAAAACAAAAACAGCTTTTTTGCCAAATAAAGATGTGTATAAGAAGCATAGTTCTTTGGGACAGTCATTATCACCAGAAAAGATAAAATTGAAACTCAAATCAGTTAGCTTCAAACAAAAACGAAAGTTAGACCAAGGGAACGTATTAGATATGGAAGTAAAGAAAAAGAAACATGATAAACAAGAACAGAAAGGAAGTGTGGGAGCTACATTCAAATTAGGTGACTCTTTGTCAAACCCAAACGAAAGAGCCATTGTTAAAGAAAAGATGGTATCAAATACTAAGTCTGTAGACACGAAAGCGAGTTCATCTAAATTTAGTAGAATTCTAACTCCTAAGGAGTATTTACAAAGGCAGAAGCATAAAGAAGCTCTGAGTAATAAAGCATCGAAGAAAATCTGTGTGAAAAACGTGCCATGTGATTCTGAACATATGAGACCAAGTAAACTTGCCGTGCAGGTTGAAAGTTGTGGGAAATCAAATGAGAAACACAGCAGCGGCGTGCAGACCTCTAAAGAATCATTAAATGGCTTGACAAGCCATGGTAAAAACCTCAAAATCCACCATTCTCAGGAGTCTAAAACATACAACATTCTAAGGAATGTTAAAGAAAAAGTTGGTGGGAAGCAGCCTGATAAAATATGGATTGATAAGACTAAATTAGACAAATTAACCAATATAAGCAACGAAGCTCAATTCAGCCAAATGCCTCCCCAAGTAAAGGATCAAAAGAAATTATATCTGAATAGAGTTGGGTTTAAATGCACTGAACGTGAAAGCATTTCTCTCACCAAATTAGAAAGTTCACCCAGGAAGCTTCATAAAGATAAGAGACAGGAAAATAAACATAAGACCTTTTTACCGGTGAAAGGTAACACAGAAAAATCAAACATGCTGGAGTTTAAATTATGTCCAGATATCTTACTAAAGAATACAAACTCTGTGGAAGAACGGAAGGATGTAAAGCCTCATCCTAGGAAGGAGCAAGCCCCTCTGCAAGGTCCAGTATGATTTTCTTGGTGGTGTCTACAATATTGTAAAGAGTCGTAGGTCAATATTTGGGCTAGCACCTCTCATGCTGTCTTGGGCTGCTGGGAAAGACTTTAATGTGTTATGCCACTACCTAGTATTTGTTTTGCCTGGTAAACCAATGTTTCATTGGGCAATATTTGTTTTGTGTTCATTGCCACCTTATTGTAAATTGTAGAAAATTGGTCGTCATGACGAGCTATATGTAAAACTTGCCAGATAGAAATATTTCAGTTAGTACCAAGAAGGCTGTACTGTGAAAAACATTCCACATTCCTTGTGGGAATGTCAGAAAAGTGTCAAGTAGCTAGTAATGTAAGAGTCTTGGTTTTGTTAATTCTCCTTTGGACTTGTAATTTGAAAGCCCTGTGAACTTGAAATTTTGTTCTGAATGTTAGAGGATAAGTAATGATGAATACTGAAGTCTTTTTGTTCATATGGAAATGGGTCAACTAATTGTCCTCTTTGAAACAGTTGATGGCTGTGTTATCACTATATTTAAAATGGTAACATCTAGCCTACTCATAAGATAGAAGAACCTTGAAAGCAGTATTGTCCAGTGTTATAATTTAAAATCTTTAAAGCCAAGCTGGCAGCTATGAATATTAGGTAGCTTAATGGTAGACTTCTCAATGTAGTGCAGGAAGGAAGGAGAAAATTGATAACTAGTTGTTCATGGTACTAAGGGAACATTTAGACATAGTGGATATTATATGTAAAGCATTGTGCTGAGAAAGATTGGAAAACTAAAGGATTTGAATGGAAATTGAAGTCTTTGCTCTGCTTTTCTGACTATATTTGTTGGGGTTCATAAAACAATAGCATAAACAGGATATGTTTTCCTGGAAAAGAAGATAGGGATATATTCATTTTGTAAAAAATTGGTGATTTCAATAGGTTCTTTCATTTGGATCCTTGGAATTTGAGGTGGGGATATAATGGGAACATTGGAAGTGGGTGGGGGCAATGTAGTTTTCTATCTCATGTGTCCTTTAATATCTGGAGATGTATTAACCTCTTCAGTTCATGTGAGGGGAACATAATTACATAGTAAAGATAAACTCATTTTTTAATTGAGGTAAGCATTTCAAATAGAAATCATTTTTCCAGTCCTTTTTTTAGAGTTGTGTTACATGTGGTTATATCTAGGGCCTTTCAAAATCTATTTTCAGCTTACATGATTTTCCTTTGTTATAGTACTAAAGGAGATGATTAGCAATATCTAGAGTTCTGAAAATGAATATTTAAATAGTTTCAGGAATAAAAAGTACAAAAGAAGACTGGTTAAAATTTGTTGCTACAAAGAAAAGGACACAGAAAGACAGCCAAGAGAGAGGTAAAGTCATCTTTTTAAATCTTCATTCACTTATCTCCCTATCTGGTATATGGAAATTGGATTATGGTTATGATATGATTGTAAAGTATGATTTTATCCATGTTCTTTTTTTTTTTTCAGTCATTCAGTGTTTGTGTTTGAGTGGTAGGAGGACATTTTTGTGTTGTCGTGCTGTGGAATGAAAGGCTGAGCTTTATTTTATTTTAATAGGAAAATAAGTCTTATCACAATGAGTTAGCTAAGAGGTTTGCATATTTTACCTGTATAGGACCAGACAGCAAATACTTTAGGTTTTCTGGGTCATAAGGTGTCTGTCCTGACTACTCAGCTCTGACTCTGTTTCAGGGAAATGGCTGCAGATAATATGTAGATGAGTATCAGCTGTGTTCTGATTAACTATTTATTTATTTATTTATTTATTTATTTATTTTGAGACAGAGTCTCACTCTGTCACCCAGGCTGGAGTGCAGTGGCGTCATCTTGGCTCACTGCAACCTCTGCCTCCCAGGTTCAAGCGATTTTCTCCCTCAGCTTCCCAAGTAGCTGGGACTGCAGTTGCATACCACCACGCCCAGCTAATTTTTGTATTTTTAGTAGAGGCAGGGTTTCACCGTGTTGGCCAGGCCGGTCCCAAACTCCTGACATCAGGTAATCCACCTGCCTCGGCCTCCCAAAGTGCTGGGATTACAGACATGAGACACCGTGCCTGGCCTCTAATTAAACTTTATCTACCAAAATAGGCAGCAGGCTGGACTTAGTTTGCCAGACCCTGGATTCAATTATTTACATGTTAATTTGATTAATCTTCAATACAATTTAGGCAAGGATATTTCCATTTTATAGATGAGAGGTTACATCATTTGACTTAAGTTTCATTGCTAGTGACTGAATAGGGACTTGAATCTGGTCCCCTCTTTTCAAAGTCCATTAAGTGTGGTTGAGGTATAGTCAGCCCTCCGTATCTGCGTGTTCCGTATCTGTGGATTCAAGCAACTGTGGATCCAAAATATTTGGGAAAAAAATTAATACAACCATAAAAATAGAAACTTAAAAGACAATATAGTATAACAACTGTTTACATAGCATTTACATTGTATTAGGTATTAAAAGTAATCTAGAAATTATTTAAGGTATGTGTGGGGGGTATGCTTTAGGTTATATACAATATACTATGCCATTTTACATAAGGAACTTAAGCATCCCCAGATTTTGGTATCTATTTGGGTGGATGCTGCAGAAGTGTCCTGGAATCAGTCCCTCTTCAATACCCAGGGATGACTGTATTTTAATAATGAGACCGGTCCTAGCTGTGTTATTTGCTGGGAAGGGATTTGGGCTGAGGACCAACTAGAAAAAGTAGAGCTTTGAGTATTTGATTTTTTTTTTGAGACGGCATCTTGCTCTGTCTCCCAGGCTGGAGTACAGTGGCACGATCTCGGCCTTGCTGCAACCTCTGCATTCCAGGTTCAAGCAATTCTTCTGCCTCAGCCTCCTGAGTAGCTGGGACTACAAGCACACTACCACGCCTGGCTTATTTTTGTATTTTTAGTAGAGACTGGATTTCTCTCACTATGTTGGCCAGGCTGGTCTCAAACTCCTGAACTCAGGTGATCCACCTGCCTCGGCCTCCCAAAATGCTGGGATTACAAGCATGAGCCACCGTGTCCACCCGAATATATGATTTAATTAGTGGAGTGAAAGTACCTTGTTGTTAGGGTTTGGCTTTGAAAACTAAAAGCTAGAGCTCAAGAGTTTTTGTCTTAGTTTTGGTTCATTAAATGGGCAAAGAGGGGGCTGGGCACGGTGGCTCACACCTGTAATCTCAGCACTTTGGGAGGCCGAGGCAGGCGGATCATGAGGTCAGGAGATTGAGACCATCCTGGCTAACACGGTGAAACCCTGTCTCTACTGAAAATATAAAAAATAAGCCGAGTGTGGTGGCGGGCACCTGTAGTCCCAGCTACTCGGGAGGCTGAGGCAAGAGAATGGCATGAACCCAGGAGGCGGAGCTTGCCATGAGCCAATATGTCGCCACTGCACTCCAGCCTGGGTGACAGAGAGAGAGTCTTGTCTCAAAAAAAAAAAAAAAAAAATAGGCAAAGAGGGGTTCAGAGCCTCAAAAATGGAGAGCAGCAGAAACTCACCAAGAGAAACAATAAGAAGCACATTTTATAAAAGGAATTGACAACGGTTGTGAAGAGAGCTTCAAACAAATACTTAGAAGCAGGCGTGTAAAAATTGAGTAGAGGCCGGGCGAGGTGGCTCACGCCTGTAATACCAGCACTTTGGGAGGCCGAGGCAGGCAGATCGCCTGAGGTCAGAGGTTCGAGACCAGCCTGGCCAACATTATGAAACCCCATGCCTACTAAAAATATAAAAATTAGTCAGGTGTAGTGGCACATGCCTGTAATACCAGCTATTCAGTAGGCTGAGACGGGAGAATCACTTGAACCTGTGAGGCGGAGGTTCCAGTGAGCTGAGATCGGACCACTGCACTCCAGCTTGGGCGACAGAGCAAAACTCTGTCTCAAAAAAAAAGTCAGTTAGCATTGAAACATGCATATGGGAAAAACTTGCATCAATGAAGAAATATACTCTTAATCAGAACAGGACAAATAACCTAAAGAGGAGGGAATGAAGAGCAGTGAGAGGCCTGACAGTGGGAAAACAATGCCTCTCGGGTTGGAAGGCAGAAAGCCAAAAATGCGAAAGATACAAATGGGTACGAAGATTGGAGTAAGAAAAAAGCTCCTTGGAAACAGGAGAGACATGATTATCTCAAAGAGAAAGCGAGAGGCATGTTTGGAATCTGAAGCTGAAAACACTCAAAAGACAGATACACAGATTGACCAGAGGCTTCAGAGATAGGCATGAGTTGAATGACATGTGCAGACAGCACAGCAGGATGAGCACTGCACGGTGAATGTGAGGCTGAAATACTCAGAATCATGATGAAAGAAAAACACAAACCAGGTACACTAAGGCAAAGCTGGGTGAGACAGTCCAGGAGACAAGTCATACAGCTTTGTCATGGCACAACAAGACGCAAATAGGTGAGACCTAAGGGAGGAGAAAAAAATCTCAGGTGATGGCTACATGGGCATTTTTATTTACTTATTTTTATTTATTTATTTATTTTATTTTTTAGACAGTCTCGCTGTGTCGCCCAGGCTGGAGTGCAGTGGTGCGACCTAGGCTCACTGCAACCTCTGGTTCCTGGGTTCAAGCGATTCTCCTGCCTCGGCCTCAGCCTCCTGAGTAGCGTGAACCACCTCACCTGGCTGATTGTTGTATTTTTAGCAGAGACAGAGTTTCACCATGTTGTCCAGGCTGATCTTGAACTCCAACCTCAGTGATCCACCCACCTCAGCCTGCCAAAGTGCTGGGATTACAGGTGTGAGCCACTGCGCCCGGCCACATGGGCATTTTTTAAATGCCTATTAGGGGCGAGTGAAGCTGGTTCTGGAGAAGGGATCTCTGGGAAATAGTGAATTATATACCTTAGACAAAGAGGCTGGAGAACAGTGAACCAACTATGAAGTGAGAGAAAAATGCCATGAACTCCCAATCTGCTATAAAGAAACATACATCTGGCCTGGTGTGGGGCCCATGTGTGTCATCCCAGCACTTGGGAGGTCAAGGCCGGAGGATGGCTTGAGCCCAGGAGTTTGAGACCAGCTTCGGCAACATCAGGAGATCCCATCTCTACAAATAACTTTTTAAAAAATTAGCTGGGCATAGTGGTGCGCACCTGTGGTCCCAGCTGCTTGGCAGACTGAGGAAGGAGGATCACCTGAGCCCAGGAGTTGAGGCTGCAATAAGCCCTGATGCAGCACTGCACTCCAGCCTGGGCAACAGAGCCAAGACCCTGTCTCAAAAAAAAAAAAACCCACAGGAGAAACAGATGTCTAAATTCAGTAGCAAAGGTTGCAGCAAACTTGAAGTCCTAAGTTAGGGTAAAGAGATGAAGAGGAAATGACAAGAATTTCTTGGAAAGCAACTTAGAGACCCATCTGGGGCTTCAGTGTTACTAATTCTGAAAGAAAGCAAACGAAAAAGTGGAAGACTGCAGCAGATCTAAAGAACTAACAGGACAGAATACTCCACCCATTCAGGTAGAAAAAGACAAAACAAGACCCCATTATTCAGAAGAAAATAGCTGCAGCAGGAATGAAATGTACAGATAGTCCCTGACTTGGCAGTGGTTTGACTTAGGATTTCTTGACTGTGATGGTATGAAAGTGATACACATTCAGTAGAAAGTGTATTTCGCATACCCATACAGCAATTCTGTTTGTTTGTTTGTTTGTTTGTTTTTTGAGACAGTCTCGCTCTGTCACCCAGGCTGGAGTGCAGTCGTGTGATATCGGCTCACTGCAACCTCTGCCCAGCTAATTTTTGTATTTTTAGTCAAAACAGGGTTTCGCCATGTTGGCCAGGCTGGTCTTGAACTGGCTTCATGTGATCTGCTTGCCTTGGCCTCCCAGAGTGCTGGGATTACAGGCGTGAACCACCATACCCAGCCTCAACATATTTTCAATAGGTGATGGGTCATTATGAAAAAAGGACACTGAAGCTAATGTAACACTGAAATGGTCTCAAGAAACAGGAAACTATAGACATGTTTTAGAATATCCAATACATGGCAAGACCAAAATATGAAACCTATCCTTTTCATGTATTGTTTGGGACTGACTCATATTTGTACTCTTTGTATTGCTAATTTACATAGCTGTTTAAAAGATCACATTCATACTAATGATATGCAATGATACATTTTATTGAGCCAAGAGTAAGGTAGAACAGAACAGCCCAGGGCAATGAGGATGGGGCAAGGAGGCAGGAGTAGAAAACAGCCCCCAAAAGAAAGGCAAGATGTCACGTGTATATAACTTACAATTCTATAAGTGAAGAGCTATGGTTCTGAAACTTTTGCTTAACTCCTTGCCTTAATTTTTTATCCCTCCAATATATATTTTCCCTCTGAATTTTGATTATATATTGATCACAGCTAACATTGAGAAATAAAGTAAGTAAAGTTTTTATTTCCCTTAGATAATGTTAATTCAAGACTCTCGAAGAGAAGCTTCAGTGCAGATGGATTTGAGATGCTACAAAACCCAGTAAAAGATTCAAAAGAAATGTTTCAAACCTACAAACAGATGTACCTGGAGAAGAGAAGCAGAAGCCTTGGTAGCAGTCCTGTAAAATAATTACAAGATGTGGTTTTGTAATTGCCACTGGGAAATTTCTTTCCTTTTCTGTTCAAAATATTTCGCTGAAACTAATGAGAAATGCCATGATAAAGATTTCTCAGAGTTTGGTTCCCACTTTCATTGTATTTCATTGAAAGTGCTTAATTAAAATGGCTTGAGAACTTTGGGTAGCCATGTGTAAGAAATGGATGGTATTCACCGGGGAAACAAGGTATTTGAATTTCTACTTTATTGAACCAGATTTACCATTATTTTAAAAGGAATGCTTATACAAATCAATTTGAAATTCTACCCATCTTGAGGGAGGACCGTTCCTCAGTTAAGGACTTGTTTATTTAAATGGGACTGTAAATATGTTTTGGTTTCTAAGCTATATTAGCAAAATTTATTTTTCAAAAATGCCCACTGTGATGTGAATGTCAAAATATATTCTTAAGTGTTTTATAACTAATTGTAAACTTTTTTTCAGAAGTCTTATTTTATACTTGTGAAACTGAACACAATTTTGGGACAACGTTTAAACATTACTTTTCATACTTGAAATAAACATTTATTTTTTAAAAAACTAATTTGAAACCTTCACAGCTCAGTTTCTTTTTGGTTTCCTACCTTTAAAAGGACGCATTTTGGAAAGTGCTTTCAAAAGCTGAAATGCGAGGTGGCTTATGCCTGTAATCACAGCACCTTGGGAGGCTGAGGCGGGCGGATCACAAGGTCAGGAGATGGAGACCATCCTGGCTAACACGGTGAAACGCCGTCTCTACTTAAAAAAAAATACAAAAAATTACCAGGACAAGGTGGGAGGCACCTGTAGTCCCAGCTACTCGGGAGGCTGAGGCAGGAGAATGGCGTGAACCCGGGAGGCAGAGCTTGCAGTGCGCCGAGATCGCGCCACTGCACTCCAGCCTGGGCGACAGAGCCAGACTCCTTCTCAAAAAAAAAAAAAAAAAAAAGCTGAAATGTCACAGCAGTTGTGCCAGTAGGTATTTTTAGATTGCGTTCACATGAGAACACAAAAAAATTTACTAGGTTCAGGAAATTTCAAGAAACTGGAAGGCAAGATATAACTTTATTTCTAGTTTTACTTTATGACTACGAGAAAAGGGTTGGAGTTTTTGTTTTGAGACAGGGTCTCACTCTGTCGTCAAGGCTGGAGTACTGCGGTGTAGGATGAATGTTCACTGCAATCACTGCTCCTGGGTTTAAATAATCTTCCCGTCTCTGCCTCATGAGTAGCTGGGACTACAGTGTGCTAATACACCTGGCTAATTTAAAAAAAAATTATTTAATTTGCTAATCTTTGTATTCTAGTGTGCTGCCAAAGTGAGCACATAATTTTGTTTTTTTGTTTGTTTGTTTTTGTTTCTTAATGTTTGGAGAATTTTTGTGGTTTTTTTGTTTGTTCTTTGAGACGTACTCCCGCCCTGTTACCCAGGCTGGAGTGCAATTGCGCGATCTGGGCTCACTGCAACCTCCGCCTCCCGGGTTCAAGCGATTCTCCTGCCTCAGCCTCCAGAGTAGCTGGGATTACAGGCGCCCGCCACCACGCCCAGCTAATTTTTGTATTTTTAGTATAGATGGGGTTTCACCGTGTTGGTCAGGCTGGTCTCGAACTCCTGACCTCAGGTGATCCGCCCACCCCAGCTTCCCAAAGTGCTGGGATTACAAGCATGAGCTACTGGGTCCAGCCTGTTTGTTTTTTTTTGAGACGGAGGCTTGCTCTGTCGCCAAGGCTGGAGTGCAGTGACGCCATCTTGGCTCATTGCAACCTCCGCCTCCCGGGTTCAAGGATTCTCCTGCCGAATAGCTGGAATCACAGGTGCCCGCCACCACGCCCAGCTAATTTTTGTATTTTTAGTAGAGACGGGGTTTCACCATGTTGGTCGTCAGGATGGTCTTGAACTCCTGACCTCGTGATCTGCCTGCCTCAGCCTCCCAAAGTGCTGGGATTACAGGCGTGAGCCATCTTGCCCAACCCTGAGCACATAATTTAAAAATACATACATTTTTGGAGACATGAGATTCTACCCTGTTGTCCAGACTGGTCTTGAACTCCTGGGCTCAAGTAATCCTTTGGCCTTGGCCTCCCAAAGTCCTGGGATTACAGATGTGAGCTACCACGCCCAGAGCATGTTGGTTATTTTTATAAAATCTTAATGTTGTATATATATATATAAAATTTTCATTTGAAAACTATGTACAAGGTAGACCAATGGATTTTAATGAAACATTGCAATTTTTTGTGCTTTTAGCTTTCATATTACAACCAACCTTTAGGAAACAACTACGGTCCTCTGTCATTTAATGACAGGGATATGTTCTGAGAAATACATCTCTAGGTGATTTTTTTTTTTTTTTTTAAATGGAGTCTCATTCTTTTGCCCAGGCTGGAGTGCAGTAGCACGATCTCCACTCACTGCAACTTCCGCCTCCTGGGCTCCAGCAATTTTGCTTCAGCCTCCCGAGTAGCTGGGATTACAGGCACACACCACCATGCCTTGCTAAAGTATTTTTAGTAGAGACAGAGTTTCACCATGTTGGCCAGGCTGGTCTTGAACTCCTGACCTCAAGTGATCTGCCCGCCTCAGCCTCCCAAAGTGCTGGGATTACAGACATGAGCCACCACGCCCAGCCTACTTCATTTTTTAAATAGTAAAAATCTATAAATATTGTCATGCCAAAATAAAAGATTGATTCACCTCAGGTGATCTGCCTGCCTTGGCCTCCCAAAGTGCTGGGATTACAGGTATGAGCCACTGCACCTGGCCAATTTTGGTCTTGTGTGACTATCCTAGAATGTACTAGGTTTGTGTAAACCTAGATGGTACAGGTTGAATATCCTAAATCTAAAATCCAGAGCTGGGCACAGTGGCTCATGCCCGTAAACCCCAGCACTTTGGGAGGCCAAGGCGGGCAGACCACCTGAGGTCAGGAGTTCCAAGACCAGCCTGACCAACATGGTGAAACCCCATCTCTACTAAAAATACACAATTAGCATGGTGTGGTGGCAGATCCCTGTAATCCCAGCTACTTAGGAGGTTGACGCAAGAGAATTGGTTGAACCCCGGAGGCGGAGGTTGCAGCGAGTCGAGATCACGCCATTGCACTCCAGCCTGGGCAACACAAGCAAAACTCTGTCTCAAAAAAAGAATAAAATCCAAAATGTTCCAAAATCTGAAACTTTGAATGCCAATGTGATACTCAAAGGAAATACTCATTTGAGCATTTTGGATTTTGCATCCTTGGATTAAGGATGCTTAGGTGGTGAGTATAATGCAAATATTCCAAGATCCAAAAATATCTGAAATATTTTCAGTCCCAAGTATCTCTAATAAGGTGTAGTCAACCTAGATGTCCTACTGCATACCTAATCACTATGGTGTATCTTATTGCTTATAGGCTACAAATGTGGACATCATGTTACTGTACTGAATGCTGTAGGGAATTATAACAATAGTTAAGTATTTGGGTCTTCAAGCATAGAAAAGCTACTGTAAAAATGCAGTATAAAAAAAAATGATGCCGGGCACAGTGGCTCACACCTGTAAACCCAGCACTTTGGTAGGCCAAGGCGGGTGGATCACCTGAGGTCAGGAGTTCGAGACCAGCCTGGCCAATATGGTGAAACCTCTGCTCTCCTAAAAATACAAAAATTAGCTGGGTGTGTTGGCGCATGCCTGTAATCCCAGCTACTTGGGAGGCTGAGGCAGGAGAATCACTTGAGCCTGGGAGGTGGAGGTTGCAGTGAGCTGACGTTGTGCCACTGCACTCCAGGTTGGGCTACATGAACAAAACTCCATCTTAATGAATGAATGATGTACCTGTATTGGGCACTTAATATGAACCATGAATAGCGCTTGCAGGACTGGAAGTTGCTTGCAAGTCAGTGAATTGGTCTGAGCAAGTGAATGTGAAGGCCTAAGACATTACTGTATACTACTATCAACTTTATGAACACTGTACACTTAGGCGACCCTAAATTTATTTTTATTTTTTACTGCAAAACGGGGTCTCTGTTACCCAGGTTGAAATGCAGTGCTGTAGTCTCAGCTTGCTGAAACCTCCGCCTCCCTGTTTCAAGCAGTCCTCCCACATCAGCCTCCAGGGTAGCTGGGAACACAGGCACGATCCAGCATGTCCAGCTAATTTTTAGTAACTAAATTTATTCTTTAAAACTTAAATAGAATTTAGCTTATGGTAACTATATTAACTTTTTAAACTTTTAACTTAATTTTAATTTTGGTTTTGGTTGTTTTTTTGTTTTTTTTAGACGGAGTTTTGCTCTGCCTCCCATACAGGCTGGAGTGCCGTGGCACAATCTTAGCTCACTGCAACCTCTGCCTCCCAGGCTCAAGCTATTCTCCTGCCTCAGCCTCCCAAGTAGCTGCGATTAACAGGTATGTGCCACCACGCCCAGCTAATTTTTGTATTTTAACTAAAGATAGTTTCACCATGTTGGCCAAGCTGGTCTCGAACTCCTGACCTCAGGTGATCCACCTATCTCAGCCTCCCAAAGTGCTGGGATTACAGGCATGGGCCACTGCATCAGGCCATTAATTGTAATTTTTTTTATTCATTTCAAGACAGGGTTAAGAAACTGCTAATTTTGTATTTCTGGTAGAGACAGGGTTTTGCCATGTTTCCCAAAACAGTCTCAAACTCATGGGCTGAAGCAATCCTCCCGCCTGGGCCTCCCATAATAAAGTGCTGGGATTACAGGTGTTAGCCACTGTGCCCAGCCGCCAAATTTTTAGCTTTTTAACTCGTAATAACATGGCTTAAAACACAAGCACACTGTAGAGCTGTACAAACTTTTTTTTTGAGACAGAGCCTTGCTCTGTCACCTAGGCTTGAGTGTACTGGCGTGATCTTGGCTCACTGCAACCTCCACCTCCTGGGTTCAAGTGATTCTCCTGTCTCAGCCTCCTGAGTAGCTGGTATTACAGGCATCTGCCACCACGCCCAGGTAATTTTTGTATTTTTAGTAGAGATGGGGTTTCACCGTGTTGGCCAGGCTGGTCTCGAACTCCTGATCTCAGGTGGTCTGCCCGCCTCGGCCTCCTAGTGCTGGGATTACAGGTGTGAGCCACCACACCCAGCCTTTTCAAAATTTTCTTTATACTTTTTGTATAAGCTCTTTTTTATTAAATTTTTTTTTAACTTTTTTTCAAATTGAAAACTAAAAGATGGGCACAGTGGCTCACCAAGGTCAGGAGATGACTGGACACAGTGCCTCATGCCTGTAATCCCAGCACTTTGGTGGGCCAAGGTGAGCAGTATTGCTTGAGTCCAAGAGTTCAAGACCAGTACAACATGCTGAAACCCGGTCTCTACCAAAAGTACAAAAATTAGCCAGGTTTGGTGGTGTGCACCTGTAATGCCAGCTACTTGGGAGGCTGAGGTGGGAGGATTACTTCAGCCCTGTCTCCACCCCCCCCCCCAACCAAAAAAAAAAAAAAACAGAACCAGGAAAACATTAACCTTGGCTTCCACGTAGTCAGGATCATCAGTATCACTTGTCTTCCTCCTCTACATCTTGCCCCATTGGAAGGTCACCAAGGGCAGTAACACGCATGGAGCTGTCATCTCCTGTGATAACAGTGCCTTCTGGAACACCTGAAGGACCTGGCTGAGGCTGTTTTATAGTTTTTGTTTTGTTTTGTTTTTGAGACGGAGCCCCGCTTTGTCGCACAGGCTGGAGTGCAGTGGCGCAGTCTTGGCTTGCCGCAACCTATGCCTCCCAGGTTCAGGCAATTCTCCTGCTTCAGCCTCCCGAGTAGCTGGGACAACAGGTGTGAGCCACCGCACCCAAGCCTATTTTTTAATTTATTTAAATTTAAAAATATTTTTTAGTTTTTTAAAAAGTAGGAAGCTGGGCACAGTGGCTCACGCCTGTAATCCCAACACTTTGAGAGGCCGAGGCAGGCGAATCACGAGGTCAGGAGATTGAGACCATTCTGGCCAACATGGTGAAACCCCATCTCTACTAAAAGTACAAAAAATTAGCTGGGCATGGTGGTGTATGCCTGTAGTCCCAGCTACTCGGGAGGCTGAGGTAGAAGGATCACTTGAACCCAGGAGGCGGAGGTTGCAGCGAGCTATCACACCACTACACTCCAGCCTGGCGACAGAGTGAGACTTCGTCTAAAAAAAAAATAAGTAGGAATAAATTAACCTACATAAAAAGCATAACATACTAAACACAAACCAGTAACAGTCATTTATCATTGTCAAGTATTATGTACTGTATATATTTTTAAGTCAGATTTGTAAAAATATAAAACTGCCAATCTTTTCTCATTCTCCTGGTAAGTATTTTTCATAAACATTTATTTGGCTGGGTGCAGTGGCTCACGCCTGTAATCCCAACACTTTGGGAGGCCGAGCTGGGTGGATCACCTAAGGTCAGAGGTTTGAGACTAGCCTGGCCAAAATGGTGAAACCCTGTCCCTACTAAAAATACAAACATTGGTGGGCTCGGTGGCTCATGCCTGTAATCCCAGCACTTTGGGAGGCCAAGGCTGGTGAATCACGAGGTCAGGAGTTCGAGACCAGCCTGGCCAACATGGTGAAACCCCGTCTCTACTAAAAATACAAAAATTAGCTGGGCGTGGTGGCTTGGGCCTGTAGTCCCAGCTACTCAGGAGGCAGAGGTTGCAGTGAGTCAAGATCAAGCCACTGCACTCCAGCCTGGGCGACAGAGTGAGACTGTCTCAAAAAAACAAACAAAAATACAAAAGTTAACTGGGTGTGATGGCACGTGCCTGTAGTCTCAGCTGCTCAGGAGTCTGAGGCAGAGGTTGTAGTGAGCTGAGACTGCGCGCCACTGCACTCCAGCCTGGGAGACAGTGAGACTCAGTCTCAAAAAAAAAAAATTATATGAATGTAATGGGTTCATCATTTTAAAATGAAGTATCTTCAAAATTTGTTTCAAGTTCTCATGGAATCGATATTGATAAATATATCTTGGTATTCTTCAGTTTTTAAGGTTGTAAAAATAAATACTTTTTTGGAGATAGGGTCTCTCTCACCCAGGCTGGGGTGCAGTGGTGCGATCTTGGCTCACTGCAACCCCTGCCTCCTGGGCTTGGACAGTCCTCCCACTCTAGCCGCACAAGTAGCTGGGACCACAGGCCCATGCCACTGGCCTGCTAATTTTTGTATTTTGGGAGTTTTTTTGTAGATAATAGGGTTTCGCCATGTTGCCCAGGATGGTGAACTCCTGGGCTCAAGCAATCTGCCCACCTCAGCCTCTCGAAGTGTTGGGATTACAGGGGTGAGCCGCTATGCCCGGTCCCAAAGTCAGTCTCTAACCTAATCTCTGAAATGATGTGTCAATTTTGCTACTTTCTATTTGCTAGAAGTGAGTCACAGAATTCCAGCCCATACTCAAGGGGGTTATCCAAGGGCATAAATATTAGGAAATGTGCTTTTTAAAAGTTTCTGGAGGCTGGGTGGCGTGGCTTACGCCTGTAACCCCAGCACTTTGGGAGGCTGAGGTGGGTAGATTACCTGAGGTCAGGAGTTTTGAGACCAGCCTGGCCAACATGGCAAAACCTTGTGTCTACTAAAAATACAAAAATTAGCCAGGCACGGCTGGGCACGGTGGCTCAATCCCAGCACTTTGGGAGGCTGAGACAGGCGGATCATGAGGTCAGAAGATGGAGACCATCCTGGCTCATATGGTGAAACCCCGTCTCTACTAAAAAATGTAAAAAAAAAAAAAATTAGCCAGGTGTGGTGGTGGGCGCCTGTAGCCCCAGCTACTCGGGAGGCTGAGGCAGGAGAATGGTGTGAACCCGGGAGGCAGAGCTTGCAATGAGCCAAGATCGCGCCACTGCCCTCCAGCCTGGGCGAGAGAGTGAGACTCTGTCTCAAAAAAATAAAAATGTGTATCTCTGTCATTGGGATTCCTATAAGCTTGTGCCTAGACAGGATAGTTATTTTATCTTTAAGACCCTGTTAAAGCCTGCCTGAGGTCTTATCTGCATTCCCCTGTGGGCTGACTCAGCACCTGGTTGCCTTGTATTCTCCTGATTATGAATCTTTCAACCTCTAGGACATGGACCATTAACGTTTAGTATACTTGGCTGTAGCTACTTTAAGCTTAGATATCTGCCTTCGAATATTCTACCTTTTTTAAAATAAAATATAAATGTCTAGTGATTCTTTCGTTGTTGTTTTTATTTTTTGGAGACACGGTCTTGCTGTGCCACCCAGACTCGAGTGCAATGGTGTGGTCACAGCTCACTGCAGCCTTGACCTTCTGGGCTCAAGTGATCCTCCCACCTCAGCCTCCTGAGTAGCTGGGACTGCAGGCGTGCACCACCATCCTTGGATAATTTTTTATTTTTTAGAGAAATGAGGTCTCCCTGTGTTGCCCAGTCTGGTCAGGCTCAAGCAATCCTCCCATGTCAGCTTCCCAAAGTGCTGGATTACAAGCATAAGCCACCATGCCTGGCTGTATCCTGCTTTCTGTTATAATAGAGTGGATTTTGTCATCTTGATAGCCCACACAACGTTGGTCCGTTTCTTTGATGATATTATGCTAATTGGACCTGACAAGCAGAAAATAATAAACATCCTACAAGACTTAATAAAACACATGCATGACGGGATGGGAAGGAAATCTTGAATAAAAATTCATGATTGACCACATTCGTAAGGTTTTTAGGGTCTGATTGTAGTCTTGTGTATATTGTACCATCTACCACAAAGAGAAATGTTTGATGAGCCTGTGTGAAGTTTGGAGGGAACATACACCATCTATGGACATGCCACCTTATGGACGTGTCACCCTAAGCAATTTATCAGGTAACACACACACAGCTCTAATTTCTTTTTTTTTTGAGATGGAGTCTCGCTCTCTCGCCCAGGCTGGAGTGCAGTGGCCCCATCTCAGCTCACTGCAAGCTCCGCCTCCTGGGTTCACGCCATTCTCCTGCCTTGGCCTCCTGAGTAGCTGGGGCTACAGGCACCCGCCACCACACCCAGCTAATTTTTTTGTATTTTTTAGTAGAGACGGGGTTTCACCATGTTAGCCAGGATGGTCTCGACCTCCTGAGTTCGTGATCTGCCCGCCTCGGCCTCCCAAAGTGCTGGGATTACAGGTGTGAGCCACCGCACCCGGCCCACACAGCTCTAATTTTATGTGAGGCCTCAAGCAAGCAAAGGCTCCACAGCAGGACCAGGCTGTGGTGCAAGCTGCCCTGCCCCTTGGGCCTAATGGCCCAGCAGGCCCAATGGTACAGGGAATTTCTACTGTGTGTGAAACCTCTTGCTTTTAGGAGAATCCTAGTAAACCCCCTATGACCTTTTCTGACAAGTACATTCCATTTGAACACAAATTGTAAAACCTGAACTGTTGATGAATTTGATGTCATCTGATTCCAAAAACCATAAAATTTGACTCATGCAGCAGCATTTCATTGTTAAATGAAAATGTATATGTAAGACTAGCCCAAGCAGTTCCTGAGGACACAATTAAAACATACAAGCGGCCGGGCACGGTGGCTCACGCCTGTAATCCCAGCACTTTGGGAGGCTGAGGTGGGCGGATCACGAGGTCAGGAGATGGAGACCACCCTGGCTAACCCAGTGAAACCCTGTCTCTACTAAAACTACAAAAAAATTAGCCGGGCATGGTGGCGGGCGCCTGTAGTCCCAGCTACTCGGGAGGCTGAGGCAGGAGAATGGCGTGAACCTGGGAGGCGGAGGTGGCAGTGAGCCGAGATCGTGCCACTGCACTCCAGCGTGGGCGACACAGCAAGACTCCATCTCAAAAAAAAAAAAAAAAAAAAAATCAAGTAGCTTGCTCGGGGTTCCATAACACCTCTTCCTTCTGTTTCTCTGGCTTTCCCTCAGTCCACATATAAGGCTTCATGAGAGAAGACACGAATGGATATAAACCAATGGGAATAAACCAAGACAAGTCCTGGTTTATGAATTGGTCTGCACAGTATGCTGGCTCCAGCTGGAAGTATTACATAGCCTCACTTAGAGATGACCCTAAGAGACAGTGATAAAGCCAACCTCATATCTTGCTACCAGAAGCACATGAGAATAATTCTTTTAAGAGGCTTTAAAATCCCAGCTACTCAGGAGGGTGAAGTGGGAGGATCCCTTGAGCATCGGAGCTTGAGACCAGCCTGGACAACATAGTAGGACACTGCCTCAATAAAAAATTAAGTAAATAAATAGATAGCTTTTGAGTTATCTATACTGTGATATAATACACCACACCCTTTACAAGAGCAAATTCTGGGGCATGATTAAATGAAAAGCAAAGGTAGTACTTCATAGCATCTGCAAACTGGCATAGTGCAGACAGGCAAAAAGCAATGGTAAATAACTACTGGAACATATGTAGAAAATGTCCTGTTTGGCATCTACTGCAGAGTAGGCTCTCAATCAGATGGGTAAGATAGCTAGTCCTATGGATGTCAGCCTTTTTCCCCAGCCACCCTGGTGCTTAATAGGCCCATTTATAAAGTGCCATGGCAACAAGAAAGGAGGTCTGCATGGACTTCTCACTGAGGCTTCTCTGCCCATGCACCAAGAGTCAAGGCTATGCTGGGCCCCTGACTGATCACACCATTCTCCAGGGAACCAATGAGCCTCTTGGTGGTAGATTGATACATTGGACCCTTTCTACACAGAAGGAGAAGCAATTTGTGCCTTTGGGAATAGAAACATTCCAAATATGAATTTGCCTGCCAGAAATGGTCCTGCTGGCACTAAGCAGAAGGCCTATTCATTGCTGTGATATTCCATACAAATCACTAAGCAACCTGTCTACAGTGAAGGACACGATGAGAGAGAATTACACTGATACAATTTACTAGCACTACCACAAGCCCCAAGGACCCAGAAGCATCTGACTTGACAAAATGGCAGAATGCCTGCTAACAGCTTAGTTACTACATTAGCTGGAGAAAATTAGCTGGAGGATTAGAAGGCTGTCTTACAGAATGAATATATGACTTAAGCCAGTAGCTAATATTTGGTGACGTCTCCCGCATAGCCAAATACCGCATGAACCGAATAACCAAGGGGTGGAGGTTTGGAATGGCCCCTTTCACTTTTTCCCTTTTTATTTTAATTTATTTATTTGAGGAGTTGCTGTGTTACCCAGGCTGGAGTGCAGTGGTGTGAGCACAGCTCACTGCAACCTCAACCTCCCAGGCTCAAGTAATCCTCCCACCTCAGCCTCCCAAGTAGCTGGGACTACAAACATGCGCCACCACCCCCAGCTTATTTTTGTGGTTTTAGTAGAGAAGGGGTCTCACTATGTTGCCCAGGCTGGTCTCCTACTCCTGGGTTCAAGCAATCAACCTGCCTTGGCCTCCCAAAGTGCTTGGATTACAGGTGTGTGCCACTGCACCCAGCCAACATTTTCCCTTTTTAAAGAAAAGAAACATAATTCAGACATACATATAAAGCATACAATTCAGTGATATTTTTTAGTATATTTATAAAGTTGTACAACCATCAACACTATCTAATTTCAGCAGATTTTCATCATCTCCAAAAGAAACTCCATATCCATTAGCAGTTCACTTTCCATTCACACCACCCTACCCCTAGCACCTGACAACCACTAAGCTACTTTCTGTCTCTATCAATTTACATATTCTGTGCATTTTATATTAATAAAATCATGTAATATGTGACCTTTTGCATCTGGCTCTTTTCATTTAGCATAATGTTTTCAAGGCTTATCTGTGTTGTAGTATGTATCAATATTTCATTCCTTTTGGCCAGGCATGGCAGCTAACGCCTGTAATCCCAGCACTTTGGGAGGCCGAGGTGGGAGGATCACCTGAGGCCAGGAGTTCAAGACCAGCCTGGCCAGCATGGTGAAACCCTGTCTCTACTAAAAATACACAATTAGCCAGGAATGGTGGCACATGCCTGTAATCCCAGCTACTCAGGAAGCTAAGGCAGGAGAATCACTTGAACTCGGGAGGTAGAGGTTGCAGTGAGCCGAGATAGCGCCATTGCACTCCAGCCTGGCGACAGAGTGAGACTCCCTCTCAAAAAAAAAAAAAAAAAAGAAAAGAAAAGAAAACACAACTTCTTCCTTTGCTATGCTGAGGGCCTACTGATGGGCAAGTTTTAGCACACATTTTTAGGAGGCTTAGCTACAACTACATTTAATTACAATGACTTGGAGGAGTCCCACTTTTCTGGCCTTCTCATACCAGATGAAATTCCAAAACCCGGGCTGGATGCAGTGGCTCATGCCTGTAATCCCAGCACTTTGGGAGGCCGAGGTGGGCGGATCACCTAAGGTCAGGAGTTCGAGACCAGCCTGGTCAACATGGTAAAACCCCATCTCTACTAAAAATACAAAAAATTAGCCGGGTGTGGTGGCGAGTGCCTGTAATCCCAGCTACTCTGGAGGCTGAGACATGAGAATCGCTTGAACCTGGGAGGCGGAGGTTGCAGTGAGCCGAGATCGCGCCACTACACTCCAGCCTGGGCAACAAGAGCGAAACTCTGTCTCAAAAAAAAAAAAAAAAAAAAAATATATATATATATATATATATATATATGTATGTATATATATGTGTATATATGTATATATGTGCATATATATGTATATATATGTGTAGATATATGTGTATATGTGTATATGTGTATATGTGTATATATGTATATATGTATATATGTGTATATATGTATATATGTGTGTATATATGTATATATATGTGTATATATGTATATATATGTGTATATATGTATATGTGTGTATATATGTATATATATGTGTGTATATATATGTATATATGTGTATATATATGTATATATATGTATATATATGTGTGTATATATATATGTATATATATATATTAGCTGGGCGTGGTGGCAGGCTCCTGTAATCCCAGCTACTCGGGAGGCTGAGGCAGGAGAACGCTTGAACCCAGGAGGCAGAGGTTGCAGTGAGCCGAGATTGCTCCATTGCACTCCAGCCTGGGCAACAAAACAAGACGCCGTCTAAAAAACAAAAAAAATTCCAAAAGCTCCTGTGGACAGAAGGATTCTTCCCCAGCTTTTTTCTGTCTTGGCTTATCTCTGTTGCTGACCTGCTGTCTTAACCACTGCCCTCCAGTTGCCGCATGCCTGTTGATGATAAGAGTGTCCTGGCACATGATCAGTAAGCACCTTCAGGAGGCTGGTGAGGCTTATCGGTCTCAGCCTGCTGCTGCCACGACCCCCTGGACTAGGCCTCAGGCAACCGGAATTTAAGCTTCTGCAACATCTAGAAGCATAAGTTCTCTTCTTCAGTTTCTTCACCTATAAAAAAAACGAGTTTCACTCTACGATTTTTAAAGTTTGTTGTATCATCTAATTCCAAAGGGATTAGGCCTTCAGAAGATGACGTGGAAAGTTCAAAAGAAATTAAAAATCATCTAAAATCCCATCCATTAGCAGTAACAATGATTAATATCTGGCTATATGTCAAATAGCTCGTGTCTAGGGCCCATTCCAAAGCTCTAAGTTTCTTCTCACGGATGCAGTGGACATTTGTGTAAGTTTACTTCACTTCAGTTACACTGGCCTTTTTTGCAGCCCTCAAGTGTTCTCCTTCTTTTTTTTTTTTTTTTGAGATGGAGTCTCACTCTGTCGCCACGCTGGAGTGCAATGGCACGATCTCAGCTCACTGCAACCTCTGCCTCCCGGGTTCAAGCGATTCTCCGACCTCAGCCTCCTGAGTAGCTGGGATTACAGGCACGCATTCATCATGCTTAGCTAATTTTGTATTTTTAGTAGAGACGGGGTTTCACCATGTTGGTCAGGCTGGTCTCGAACTCCCGACCTCAGGTGATTCGCCCACCTCGCCTCCCAAAGTGCTGGGATTACAGGTGTCGGCCACTGTATCTGGCCCTCAAATGTTCTAAGCAGACTCTACCTCGAGGCCTTTGCACAGACTTATCTGTCTGTCTGGAACAATATCTGCCTAGATAGCTACATAGACACTCCCTTCATACAGGCCCCAAATGTCATTTTTCAGAGATACCTTCTCTGGCCACCTGATACAGGTTACACCCGCATCCTTGGGCTGATTTATTTTTTCTCACAGTGTCTAACACAATCCTCAGTGGAGGATTAATAAGTTTATTTGTTTATTGTTCTCTCCTACTAGAATTTAAATTTAAATCTATGAGGACAGGAACTTTGTTTTTTTGTTTGTTTGTTTGTTTGAGATGGTGTCTTGCTCTGTCGCCCAGGCTGGAGTGCAGTGGTGCGATCTCCTCTCACTGCAAGCTCCACCTCCCGGGTTCAAGCCATTCTCCTGCCTCAGCCTCCCCAGTAGCTGGGACTACATGCGCCCGCCACCACGCCCGGCTAATTTTTTTGTATTTTTAGTAGAGACGGGGTTTCACTGTGTTAGCCAGGATGGTCTCGATCTCCTGACCTTGTGATCCCCCCGCCTTGGCCTCCCAAAGTGCTGGGATTACAGGCTGAGCCACCGCACCCGGCCGGAACTTTGTTTTTTTTTTTCCAAGTGGCTACTTTTATTTATTTGAAAAAAACAAGCCCCAGAGCTGCCAAGGGGCTGCCTTCTCTGTCTTGTGGAGACAGTGCTTGATCCTGGAGAGCAGCCATGTTGAGAAAAAGATATTTTGAGCCCTAAAATAATGAGAAAACAGGACAGAGAGAGGTGTTCTGAGCCAGTTCCAGATTTTGCCAACTGTTGCAAGAACTCTAGAATCTTTATGTTAGTAAAATGCCAAAAATAAAAGTCTGCATTGAAAGAACGTCTAACCACTTACTATAATCCAACCTTTTAGGAAGAATGCAAAATGGCATACATGAAGAAGAGTGAAGAATCCAGAAAAACTGGAATTCCTACAAAGAAAAGTCTATAGAAACGTCCCAAAAGCAAGTAAGCAAACAGATAACACTCAGGACCTCTCATATTCATGGAAGTCATTTATAGTATAAATCCCCTTAAATAATGGACTCAGGAGGCCGGGTGTGGTGGCTCACACCTGTAATCCCAGCACTTTGGGAGGCCGAGGCGGGCGGATCACAAGGTCAGGAGATCAAGACCATCCTGGCTAACATATTGAGAAGGAGTCTTTCTCCTTCACCCAGACTGGAGTGCAGTGGCACCATCTCAGTTCACTGCAACCTTCACATCCCAGGTTTAAGTGATTCTTATGCCTCAGCCTCCCAAATAGCTGGGATTACAGACATGCACCACCACGCCCAGCTAATTTTTGTGTTTTTAGTAGAGATGAGGTTTCGCCATGTTGTCCAGGCTGGTCTTGAACTCCTGGCCTCAAGTGATCCGCCCACCTCAGCCTCCCAAAGTGCTGGGATTACAGGCATGAGCCACCGCGCCTGGCCTGCTCTGTAACTTTAACTCCTGGTGTATTCCTTGAGGTCTGTTGAAGTCTGGATCACAGACCATTGTGGGAGGTGGCAACTTTCTAATGCATTAATTAGATTGAAAGATTTGAAAGAAAAAGTTTACATTTTTTTTTCCTGGGATTACATCAAATTAAATAACCTCTGCACAACAAAGGAAACAATCGACAAAATGAAAAGGCAACCTATGGAATAGGAGAAATATTTACAATCTGTATATCTGATAAGGGGTTAATATCTCAAAATTTTTTTTCTTTTTTCTTTATTTTTCTTTTATGTCCACTTCCAAGCTCAAATATCTCAAATATTATGTAAGAAACTCACATAGCTCAATGGCAGAAAACCAAATAACCCAACTGAAAAATGAGCAAAGACCTGAATAGTCCTTTTACCAAAGAAGATACACAAATGGCCAACGGGTGTATGAAAAGGTGCTCAACATCATTAATTATCAGGGAAATGCAAATCAAAACTACAATGAGTATCACCTCACACCTGTTAGGATGGCTATTATAAAAAAGGCAGCAGCCAGGTGCAGTGGCTCAGGCCTGTAGTCTTAGCACTTTGGGAGGCTGAGGTGGGTGGGTTGCCTGAGCTCAGGAGTTCGAGACCAGCCTGGGCAACATGGCAAAAACCCGTCTCTACTAAAAATACAAAAAATTAGCTGGGTGTGGTGGCACATGCCTGTGACCCCAGCTAGGAGGCTGAGGCATGAGAATCGTTTGAACCTGGGAGGCAGAGATTGCAGTGAGCCGAGATTGAGCCACTGCACTCTGCGACTCTGTCTCAAAAAAAAAAAAAAAAAAAAAGGCCAGGCACGGTGGCTCATGCCTGTAATCCCAGCACTTTGAGAGGCTGAGGTGGGCGGATCACCGGAGGTCGGGAGTTCGAGACCAACCTGACCAACATGGAGAAACCCCGTCTCTATTAAAAATACAAAATTAGCCGGGTGTGGTGGCACATGCCTGTAATCCCAGCTACTAGGGAGGCTGAGGCAGGAGAATCACTTGAACCCGGGAGGTGGAGGTTGCGGTGAGCCAAGATAGTGCTGTTGCACTCCAACCTGGGCAACAAGAGCGAAACTCCGTCTCAAAAAAAAAAAAAAAAAAAAAAAGTAACTCTGTGATGTAAAGAATATATCAATTAGTTTGGTTGTGGTAATCATTTCACAACGTGTACCAAATTTTGATGTTGTACAGCTTAAATATATATAATTGTTCTCAATTATGCCTTAATAAACCTGGGAAAAATTTTTCCTGAAGGTTTATGAATTTAAAATGAAAACACACACGAGGCCGGGTGTGGTGGCTTACACCTGTAATCCTAGCACTTTGGGAGGCCAAGGTAGGAGGATTGTTTGCGGCCCAGAGTTCAACCAACCTGTCAAATATAGGGAGACCTCATCTCTATTATTTATTTATTTATTTATTTATTTATTTATTTATTTATTTTTATTTTTTATGAGACAGAGTCTTGCTGTGTCGCCCAGGCTGGAGTGCAGTGGCACGATCTCGGCTCACTGCAACCTCCGCCTCCCAGGTTCAAGCGATTCTCCTGCCTCAGCCTCCTGAGTAGCTGGGACTACAGGCGCCCGCCTCCACGCCTGGCTAATTTTTCGTGTTTTTAGTAGAGACGGGGTTTCACCGTGTTAGCCAGGATGGTCTCAAAAGCATGACCTCGTGATCCGCCCGCCTCGGCCTCCCAAAAGTGCTGGGATTACAGCGTGAGCCACCGCTCCCGGCATATTTATTTATTTATTTGAGACGGAGTTTCACACCTGTTGCCCAAAATGGGAGTGCAATGGCGCGATCTCAGCTCACTGCAATCCCCGCCTCCCGGGTTGATGCGATTCTCCTGCCTCAGCCTCCCAAGTAGCTCGGATTACAGGCACATGCCACCACACCTGGCTAATTTTGTATTTTTAGTACAGACAGGGTTTCACAATGTTGGTCAGATGGTCTCAAACTCCTGACCTCAGGTGATCCACCCATCTCGGCCTCCCAAAGTGTTGGGATTACAGGCATGAGCCACCGCCCCCGGCCCTGTATTTTTTATAATTAATAAAATAAAATGAAACGAACAGGAGTATACGTTAGAACAGAATGCAAATCTGCACAAAAAATTTAAGATAAAACTGGGGCATATAAAGACATGTTTTAGCCAAGCATGGTGGCTCACAACTTAAAATCCCAGCACTTTGGGAGGCTGAGGTGGGAGGATTGCTTGAACCCAGGTGTTCCAGACTAGCCTGGGCTACATAGTGGGACGCCCCCCTCCCCCCATCTCTATTTTTTAAAAATAATTTTAAGGCCGGGGGCAGTGGCTTACGCCTGTAATCCCAGCACTTTGGGAGGCCGAGGCAGGCGGATCACGAGGTCAGGAGCTCCAGACCACCATGGCCAACATGGTGAAACCCTGTCTCTACTAAAATACAAAAAATTAGCCAGGCGTAGTGGTGCGCGCCTGTAGTCCCAGCTACTCAGGAGGCTGAAGCAGGAGAATAGCTTGAACCCGGGAGGCGGAGATTGAGCCGAGATCGCACCGCCGCACTCCAGCCTGGCAGCAGAGCGAGACTCAGTCTCAAAAAAAAAAAAAAAAAAAAAAAAAGACAGGTTTTGCCTGGAGTGCACCCTATAATGGTCGAGAGGGAAGCACATTCACTCTTTAAGAAGGAAGGCCCTAAGGAGAAGGCACTTCACTGGGAAAGCTGGAAGATGGGGGTGCTTACAGCAGAGGAGCAGGAGGAAGGAAGAAAGAAAGAGCAAATAACCCGGGCCACAGAAAGCCAAGAGTTTTGGCTGTTGCAGTCCACAGTATTATCTTGTTCCTAGTATTAGCTTGCTCCTAGTTCCACAACATCAACAATGGAGCATGAAAATGTAAACACCTAACCAAATATTTGCACCTTTTGGATGATTTCCCACTTCTAGAAAATGAAAAATATTTGGTTGTTTACAGTCCCCATCCATTTATCTGTTCCCTTCCTTCCAGTTTTTTGCTAAGACAGTGGGACACCCTGGCTGGAGAGCAATATTCAGTTTATAGCTTGATTTTGTTTACCCCTGAGACCAAGGACAATTTTATCTATGTTTTTAAAGGCAGAAGATAGAAATAAAATCTAAATAACTTGTCCTTGAGCCTGACCTAAAGCCTAGACAGTGGAACAGAATTCGGGAGTAAGGAGCCTGGAGAGGGTGGAGTAAGTTTATTCAAATTAATAAATGCTAAATCAGAATTATTTAAAAAATTTAGGCAGATGATTACTCACTCTCCCTGTCTTTGGAATGTTTTAGAGAGGTATTAATGAACAATCTTATTAGCACAGACCAGGACTCTTCTTGATTCAATTGCATGAAATTGAAAAGAATTTAAAGATACTTTCTCATGTGATTTCATGCCTTTTCCTTATACTGATGCCCACATGTTGTGAAACATATAATTCTCGCAACAAGCCTGTATTATAATCCTGTTTTAGATGAAGACAGCTGAGGCCAAGAAGGGTTATATAATTTGCCCAGGCCAGGTGCGGTGGCTCATGCCTGTAATCCTAGCACTTTGGGAGGCTGAAAAGGGTGGATCACTTGAGGCCAGGGGTTGAGACTAGCCTGGGCAACATGGTAAAACTCTGTCTGTACTAAAAATACAAAATAAACAAATTAGCTGGGCGTGATGGCCCGCACCTGTAGCCCCAGTTACTCAGGAGGCTGAGGCAGGAGAATCGCTTGAACCTGGGAGGTGGAGGTTGCAGCGAGCAGAGATCACATCACTGTACTCCAGCCTGGGCAACAGAGCAAGACTCTGGCCACTCCACCCCACCCTCCAACCAAAAAAAATCAAAAATCAAAAAAGAGATAAAAATAATACATAAAATAATTTGCCCAAAGACACATGGATGACAAGTGTCAGAGTCAGGTTATAAACACAGGCAAGAAGATAACACTGCCTCACACTGCTATTTTGTGTATTTTGAAGTTACGAGTAAGAAAGGATGTCTCCTATACTTCATTAACTTTTTTTTTTTTTTTTTTGAGACGGAGTCTCGCTCTGTCACCCAGGCTGGAATACAGTGATGCGATCTCGGCTCACTGTAACCTCTGGCTCCCGGGTTCAAGCGATTCCCCTGCCTCAGCTTCCTGAGTAGCTGGGACTACAGGCGCCTGCCACCACGGCCAGCTAATTTTTTGTATTTTTGGTAGAGATAGGGTTTCACCCTATTAGCCAAGATGGTCTTGATCTCCTGACCTCGTGATCTGCCTGCCTCAGCCTCGCAAAGTGCTGGGATTACGGGCGTGAGCCACCGCGCCCGGCCTTCATTAACTTTTTACTCATTCTTCAGCAATCATACATTGATGAAGGAACTGAAAAGGGGGTAAGAAGGTTGTGTGAAAGGAAAATAAATCTTGGCGTCCCAAAATCACTAAGCTAAAAGGAAAAAAAAAAGTCAAGCTGGGAACTGCTTAGGGCAAACCTGCCTCCCATTCTATTCAAAGTCATCCCTCTGTTCACTGAGATAAATGTGTATCTGATTGCCTCCTTTGGAGAGGCTAGTCAGAAACTCAAAAGAATGCGAACATCTGTCTCTTATCTACCTATAACCTGGAAGCCCCCTTCCCTCTTCTTGTTGTCCCGGTTTTCCTTCTAGTTGTCCCACCTTTCCAGATGGAACCAATGTTCATCTACATATGTTGATTGACATCTCCTGTCTCCCTAAAATGTGTAAAACCAAGTTGTGCTCTGACCACCTTGGGCATATGTCATCAAGACCTCCTGGCTGTGCACCTGTAATCCCAGCACTTTGGGAGGTCCAGATGGCAGATCGCTTGAGGCCAGGAGTTCCAGAACAGCCTGGCCAAGATGATGAAACCCTGTCTCTACTAAAAATACAAAAATTAGCCCAGCATGATGGCTCACGTCTGTAATACCAGCTACTCAGGAGGTTGAAGTAGGAGAATCGCTTGAACTCAGGAGTTCAAGTGGAGGTTGCAGTGAGCTGAGATCATGCCACTGCACTCCAGCCTGGGTGACAGAGTGGAGACTCCTTCTCAAAACAAAACAAACCTTCTGAGGCTGTGTCATGGACACAGGACCTTAACTTCCTAAATTGACTGAGATCTGTCTCAGATTTGGGGGTTCCCAGTTCTAATTCCATATGCTCCCATTCTGAAGTCTCCCTAAAAAATGTTTCTTCTCGTTTGAAGATGGCTTTTGATTATTTTATTTTTCTCACTTGTAAGACAACTTACTCTTGATGTTAAAAACATCTTACTCGGCCATACACAGTGGCTCACGCCTGTAATCCCAGCACGTTGGGAGGCCAAGGTGGGTGGATCACCTGAGGTCAGGAGTTCGAGACCAGCCTGGCCAACATAGTGAAATCTCATCTCTACTAAAAATACAACAATTAGCTGGGCATGGTGGCACGCACCTGTAGACCCAGTTACTCGGCAGGCTGAGGCAGGAGAACTGCTTGAACCCGGGAGGCGGAGGTTGCAGTGAGCCAAGATTGCGCCATTTCACTCCAGCCTGGGCAACAAGAAAACTCAAAAAAGAAAAAAAATCTTACTCATCTTGTAGGGAGGGAAAGAACCCTTTTTCTTCTGCCCTCCTGGGGTGGGGGCTGCAAATTAAACTGAAAAAAACCAGATTGACATGTAAACATGTGGAAACTCAGTGATAAACAATGCCATCAAAGGAGTGGTTAGAATTTGGGTTTAACAAAAGAATAAGAAATTTGTAAAGAAGTGAGGAGACAAAGGTGAAGGTTTCAGGCTTCCAGGGGTAGCAAACTGGGAAGAAACAAATGGAAGATCAGGGTTGTTTTAGTAAGGTTTCTTATGCAGATTCTTCTCAGTCTTCCTGGACAGAGTCTAGAGTTTTCACCAGTGATTATCAATCTAAGTCTGTTTTTAAGCAAATGAAGGAAAGAGTAGGCCTTGCCTGCCTGCTTGTCTGTCTGTCTTTCTTTCTTTTCCTTCTTTCTTTCTTTCTTTTCTTTCTTTTTCTTTCTTTCTCTTTTCTTCCTTTCTTCCTTTCTCTTTCTTTTCTTTCTTTCTTTCTTTCCTCTTTCTTCTTTCCTTCTTTTCCCTCCCTCCCTCCCTCCCTTCCTTCGTTCCTTCCTTCCTTCCTTCCTTCTCTCTTTCTCTCTTTCTTTGCATCTGCTGTTCCTGAATCATCTTCAGCTCAAAACAGTCCTTATTTAGGGGTGGCATATTCTGATCCCCTACAATATAATTTAACAGAAACTGTATAATCAGAGAAACTGTATAATCAGAACCATTTCTTCTGGACAGTATTATAAACTAACTGCAAAAAGTAAAAACAGAAATTATTTCATTTTGTTTTGAACATTCAGAATATAGTGTTCTAGCAGGGATTATGTCCATGAGCAAATCAGTAAATAATTTGGAGCTGTGATAAAAATGATAAAAATGTCTCTCTTCCTCAAAAAAAAAAAAAAGGTTAAGAATTAAAAGGCAGGCCGGGGGTGAGCCGCAGCTCATACCTGTAATCTCAGCACTTTGGAAGGCCAAGGTGAGAGGATCATTTGAACCCAGGAGTTTGGGATCAGCCTGGGCAAAATAGTGAGACCCTGTGTCTTCTAAAAATATATATTGTAGGCCGGGCACGGTGGCTCATGCCTGTAATCCCAGCACTTTGGGAGGCCGAGGCGTGTGGATCACTTGAGGTAAGGAGTTCGAGACCAGCCTGACCAATATGGAGAAACCCCGTCTCTACTAAAAATACAAAAATTGGCCGGGCATGGTGGCTTGCGCCTTTAATCCCAGCTACTTCGGAGACTGAGGTGGAAGAATCACTTGAACCTGGGAGGCAGAAGTTGCAATGAGCCAAGATCGTGGCATTGTACTCCAGCCTGGGCAACAGAGTGAGACTCCATCTCAAAAACAAAAACAAAAACAAAACAGACACACACACACACACACACACACACACACACACACACACATATATACTAAATAAATTAAAAGAAAAAAAGAATTGAAAGGCAATCTCCATCTCACATAGAGGACTGGGCCTTGATGTATAAAGAACATGAGGAACAATGCACATGTCCATCAGCTGGTGAGCAAATAAACAAAAGGTGGAAAATGTATGCATTGGAATATTATTCAACAATGAAAAGAAATGAAGTACTTATACAACCTGGGCGAACCTTGAAAACATTAATTATGGTAAATGAAAAAAGCAGTCACAAAGTGTTACATATTGTCTGATTCCATTTATATGAAATGCCCAGAATAGGCAAGTCTATAGACCCAGAAAGTAGATTTGCGGTTTCCTAGCGCTTAGGGCAGGAAGGGTTGGTGAAAGGATTGGGGGTGACAGCCAAAGAGTATGTGGTTTCTTTTGGAGATGATAAAAATAGTCTAAAATTGACTGTGATGATGGATGCACAATTCTATGAATACACTAAAAACCATTGAATTGTATGCTTTAAATGGACGAATTGAATGATTCTGAATCCTATCTCAATAAAGCTGTTAAAAAAAAGGTTTTATGGGCCGGGCATGGTGGCTCATGCCTGTAATCCCAGCACTTTGGGAGGCCGAGGCAGGTGGATCACGAGGTCAGGAGATCAAGACCATCCTCGCTAACACAGTGAAACCCTGTCTTTATGAAAAATACAAAAAATTAGCTGGGCATGGTGGCAGGCGCCTGTAGTCCCAGCTACTCGGGAGGCTGAGGCAGGAGAATGGCGTGAAGCTGGGAGGCAGAGCTTGCAGCGAGCCAAGATCATGCCACTGCACTCCAGCCTGGGCGACAGAGCAAGACTCCGTCTCAAAAAAAAAAAAAAAAAGGTTTTATGGCTGGGCTTGGTGGCTCACACCTGTAATCCCAGCACTTTTGGAGGCTGAGGTGGGAAGATTGCTTGAGCCCAGAAGTTTAAGACCAAACAAAACAACAAAACCAAAAAAGCCAGACCCAGTGGTGCCCAAGTGCCTGTAGTCTCAGTGACTCAGGAGGCTGAGGTGGGAAGATCACTTGAGCTCAGGAGATGGAAGCTGCAGGGAGCTGTGAGGGCACCACTGCACTCCAGCCTGGATGACACAGAGAGATCCTGTCCCCAAGAAAAAAAAGTTTCGTATAATTTAGGTAATTGTTAGTAAGAGTGAAATGACATTTGTTGGTGTTAACTATCAAATCTGAAAGAAGATCAGAAAATTAAACTGTTGATCAAGTAAAGCTGAGTTTAGATTCACGGCAGCAAGGGAGAATACCACCTTAACAGAATCTTAGTTGTGTCTCAGAAGAGGGAACTGTGTCTGCACACACACACTTACACATAGGCTAAAAAACTGTGACTAGGCCAGGCGTGGTGGCTCACACCTGTAATCCCAGCACTTTAGGAGGCTGAGGCAGGTGGATCATGAGGTCAGGAGTTCGAGACCATCCTGGCTAACACGGTGAAACCCCATCTCCACTAAAAATACGAAAACTTAGCCGGGCGTGGTGGTGGGCATCTGTGGGCCCAGCTACTTGGGAGGCTGAGGCAGGAGAATCACTTGAACCTGGGAGGCGGAGGTTTCAGTGAGCCGAGATTGTGCCACTGCACTCCAGCCTGGGCAACAGAGCGAGACTCTTGTCTCAAAAAAAAGGAAAAACTGTGACTAGTTCTTGTTTATACGATTGGGGCAAAGAAGTTTCTCCCTCGCCTTTGGGAAGTTTGCTGAAAAATCACCTAATAATAAGGCAGATTGAGAGGAAAAGCATACAAATTAACTTGACCATGCACATGGAGAAAACCAGTGTGATTGCTCAATATCCCAATAGGACACAAATAATAATAATAATTATTATTATTTTTAATTTTTTGAGACAGAGTCTCACTCTCTTGGCCAGGTTGGAGTGCAGTGGCACAATCCCAGCTCACCACAACCTCCGCCTCCCAGGTTTAAGCAATTCTCCTGTCTCAGCCTCCAGAGTAGCTGGGATTACAGGCGCCCGACACCACACCCAGCTAATTTTTATATTTTTAGCAGAGATAGGGTTTCACCATGTTGGCCAGGCTGGTCTCCAATGCCTGACCTCAAGTGATCTGCCCACCTGGACCTCCCAAAGTGTTGGAATTACAGGCACTAGCCTCAGCACCTGGCCCCAAACACTTATATAACCTCTTTTCAGAGGGGTGGGGGAGATGGGGAATATAGGTAGTTCAGTAGAGGGGCATTAAGTGATGATTTAGGTGAATAAATGGATGGGGGAACACAGATTGACTTGCAAATAGTTTTCTTTGGAAGTTAAATGAACCTGAGAGACAGACATTATTTTGCAAAAGGATTGGGCCTGCTCTGGTTACCTTCCTCACCTTCTTTCCTGCAATAGATAATGAGATAACAGGGAAGGGAAGAAAAAGCAATTGTTCTCTTGGGGGCTCTGGGTCTTTATGTAGATTGGGGAAAAATCTCTTCCAAGGCCTGATAATCTCTAAGAGTTTTTATTTTATTTATTTATTTATTATTTATTTTATTTATTTATTTATTTATTTATTTATTTATTTATTTATTTATTTTCAGACAGGGTCTCACTCTGTTTGTTGCCCAGGATGGAGTGTACTGGCTCCCTTGAGGCTCATTGCAGCCTCCACCTCCTGGATCAAAGGATCTTCCCACCTCAGCTTCCCGAGCAGCTGGGATAACAGGTACACATCACCATGCTCGGCTAATTTTTGTATTTTTTTGGAGAGACGGCATTTCATCAAGTTTCCCAGGCTAGTCTTGAACTCCTGGGCTCAAGCAATCTGCATGCCTTGGCCTCCCAAAGTGCTGGGATTACAGGCATGAGCCACCAGGCCCAGATTATTTATTTATTTATTTATTTATTTATTTATTATTTTTATTTTTTGAGACGGAGTTTTGCTCTTCTCACCCAGGCTGGAGTGCAATGACGGGGTCTCTGCTCACTGCAACCTCCGCCTCCTGAGTTCAAGCGATTCTCCTGCCTCAGCTTCCCGCGTAGCTGGGATTACAGGTGCCCACCACCACGCCCAGCTAAGTTTTGTATTTTTAGTAGAGACAGGGTTTCTCCATGTTGGCCAGGCTGGTCTTGAACTCCTGACCTTAGGTGATCTGCCTGCCTTGGCCTCCCAAAGTGCTGGGATTACAGGCGTGAGCCACCATGCCTGGCCACCAGGCTCAGTTTCTAAGAATTTTTTGTTTGTTTGTTTGTTTGTTTTGAGACAGGGTTTCACTTCTGTCATCCAGGCTGGAGTGCAGTGGCGCGATCTCGGCTCATTGCAACCTCCAGCTCTCAGGCGGCTCATTGCAACCTCCAGCTCTCAGGCTCAAGCGATTCTCCTACCTTAGCCTCCCAAGTAACTGGGACTACAGGCGCACACCACTGCACACAGCTAATTTTTGTATTTTTATTTTTATTTTATTTTATTTTATTTTATTTTATTTTATTTTTCTGAGATTGAGTCTCTCTGTGTCACCCAGGCTGGAGTGCAGCAGCGCGATCTCAGCTCACTGCAAGCTCCGCCTCCCAGGTTCATGCCATTCTCCTGCCTCAGCCTCCTGAGTAGCTGGGACTACAGGCGCCCACCACCACACCCGGCTATTTTTTTGTATTTTTAGTAGAGATGCGGTTTCACCATGTTAGCCAGGTCTCTATCTCCTGACCTCGTGATCTGCCCGCCTCGGCCTCCCAAAGTGCTGGGATTACAGGTGTGAGCCACTGTGCCCGGCCTTTTGTATTTTTAGTAAAGATGGGGTTTCGCCATGTTGGCCAGGCTGGTCTTGAACTGACCTCAAGCGATCTTCCCACCTTGGCCTCCCAAAGTACTGGGATTACAGGCATGAGCCACCATTCACAGAAGAGTGTTTAATTCAAAATATTCATTATACAAGGGAGTCATATTTTGGGGTGAAATTTCCTTTTCTCCTTCAATACAATAATTAAAAGAAGGAATACTGTTGTTACTTTTATGGTTTAGTCAATTTACATTTTCAGTGGGTTACTGTGTAATTCAATAAAATTATTAATCCTTAAAATACATTTGTTGGCCGGACGCTGTGGCTTATACCTGTAATCCCAGCACTCTGGGAGGCCGAGGCGGGTGGATCACCTGAGGTCGGGAGTTTGAGACCAGCCTGGCCAACATAAAGTGAAACCCCATCTCTACTAAAAGTAAAAAATTAGCCAGGCTCAGTGAAGTGGGCCTATAGTCCCAGCTACTCGGGAGGCTGAGGCAGAAGAATCGCTTGAACCTCCTGAAAAGCGGAGGTTGCGGTGAGCCAGGATTATGCCACTGCAATTCAGCGTGGTCCAGAGTGAGACAACGTCTCAAAAAAAAAAAAAAAAAGTCAACTGTATTAGGTATTATAAGTAATCCAGAGAGGATTTAAAGTATATAGGAGGATGTGCATAGGTTATATGCAAATACTACACCATCTTATATAAGAGATTTGAGCACTCACAGATTTTGTTATTCAAGGAGGTGCTGGAACCAATCTCCCACAGATACATAGGGAACGACGATGTTCTGGCTTTGTTATAGTTCACGCATCTATCTTCCCGTTTATTCAACTCAAAAATTATTAGACATCTTTTGTGTACCTACCTCTGTGTTAGAGCAGGGCATACAGCAGCAAATAAGATAATGTCCCTGGTTTTAGATAAGTTAAAATTTAGCAGGAAAAACAGGTATTATATTTTACAAATTAAATCTCATATTTTTAAGCATATTTTAACAAGAAAAAAATTCTCTGTGAATTCCATTGTAACGTTTTACATATAAAACTCTCCCTCTTAAGTCTCTAAACTTTTTTTTTTTTTTTTGAGACGGAGTCTCGCTCTGTTGCCCAGGCTGGAGTGCAGTGGTGCGATCTCAGCTCACCGCAACCTCCGCCCCTCCAGGTTTAAGCAATTCTCCTCCTCAGCATCTAGAGTAGCTGGGATTACAGGCGTGTGCCACCACGCCCAGCTAATTTTTTTTGTATTTTTAATAGAGACGGGGTTTCACCATCTTGGCCAGGCTCATCTTGAACTCCTGACCTCGTGATCCACCCGCCTCGGCCTCCCAAAGTGCTGGGATTACAGGCGTGAGCCACTGCGCCCGGCCTTAAGTCTCTAAATTTTTAAAAAATGCATTTAATACTAAGGTCTCAAACAGTTTTCTAGACATGTAAATCAAAAACCCGTTTAATTAATTAAGATCCTGGGGGGAAAAAAAGGTTACTTGCTGAACAAAATGAAGTTTACTTATAGGAAATAGCACTATAGGAAAGTAGACAGCATTTTTCAGGAGTTGTCCATGAATGTATCTTTTTTTTTTTGTAATTTAAAAAAATACAAAAAAGTACGTAGAATAATAAAACACACCTGCTGGAGAAATGGAACTAAAAACAAAATCTCCAATAAGTCTTTCCACAAAGATAGTAGAAAAATAATTTTATTATTGAATAAGCATTAAATCAAAATGTGATATTCACCACAGGCAATCCACTAAGAGATTACAAAACAGAATGTAATCTGTTTTGTAAAAGTCTCCCTTTTATGTAGCTAAGCAGACACAACCCTTAACATAGATGTTCTTGAGATAAGCTGCAAGTCCTAAGTAAGCTGACCTGACAGCACTATTTGTAACAAATAGTTCATTCTAAATTCACCTGGTAATTAAGGGTGACCATCTGTGGTAATTGGTAAAGTTAGCTGAAAGGGGTCCTGATTCAGACCCCAAGAAAGGGTTCTTAGCTCTCGCACAAGAAAGAATTCGGGATGAGTCCATAGGGTAAAGTGAAAGCAAGTTTATTAAGAAAGTAGGCCAGGCACAGTGGCTTACGCCTGTAACCTCACAACTTTGGGAGGCTGAGGCCAGCGGATACGAGGTCAGGAGTTCGAGGCTAGCCTGGCCAACATGGTGAAACCCTGTCTCTATTAAAATAACAAAGATTGGCCCAGCCTGGTGGTGTGTGCCTATAATCAATCCCAGCTAATTCCAGGAGGCTGAGGCAGGAGAATTGCTTGAACCCGAAAGGCAGAGGTTGCAGTGAGCCGAGATCACACCATTGCACTCCAGCCTTGGCAATAGAGTGAGACTCTGCCTCAAAACAAAACAAAACAACAAAAAAAGAAAGTAATAAAGAATGGCTACCCCATAGGCAGAGCAGTAGCATGGGCCACTCAGCCACTTAAACTTATTGTTACTTCTTGATTATCTGGTAAACCAGAAGTGGATTATTCATGAGTTTTCTGGGAAAGGGGTGGGTAATTCCCAGAACTGAGGGTTCCTCTCCTTTTTAGACCATGCTGGGTAACTTCCTGATGTTGCCATAGCATCTGTAAACTGTCATGGCGCTACTGGGGCTGTCTTTTAGCATGCTAATATATTATAATTAGTGTATAGTGAACAGTGAGGATGCCCTGAGGTCACTCTCATTGCCCTCTTGGTTTTGCTAGGTTTTAGCCGGCTTCTTTACTGCAAACTGTTTTATCAACAACCTGTTCTATGGTCTGTATCTTGTGCTGACCTCCTATCTCATCCTGTGATTTAGAATGCCTTAACCTCCTGGGAATGCATCCCAGCAGGTCTCAGCCTCATTTTACTTAGCCCCTATTCAAGATGGAGTCACTCTGGTTCATACGCCTCTGACAGTGTTACATAAAGGAAAAATAAACTTCTCCTATCTGTATGGGTTTTTTTTGTTGTTGTTTGTGTTTGGTTTTTTGTTTTGTTTTGTTTTTGTTTTTAAGACAGGGTCTCACTCTCACTCAGACTGGAGTACAGTGGCATGATTACAGCTCACTGCAGCCTTGACCTCCTGGGTTCAGGTAATCCTTCCATCTCAGCATCCCAAGTAGCTAGGACTACAGGGGCGCATCACCATGCCCAGCTAATTTTGTATTTTTCATTTTTGTACAGACGAGGTCTTGCTATGTTGCCCAGGCTAGTCTTGAACTCCTGAATGAAAGTGATCCTCCTGCTTTGGCCTCCCAAAATGCTGGGATTATAGCTGTGAGTCATTGCGCCAGGCCAACTTCTCATACCTTTGTGAGAGGAGGTAGTTTGGCAATTTGGAGCAACATTCTCACCAACGTTAGGCTCCTGCCTCCCACGGGAACTGGTGCTGTAGGAGTTATTAAGAAATTATTTTAGGTATATAGAGAAGAAAAGGGGTCCTTGGGAAGTTTTCGGGTTTTTTTGTTTGTTTGTTTTGTTTTGTTTTGAGAGGGAGTCTCGCTCTGTCGCCCAGGCTGGAGTGCAGTGGCGCTATCTCGGCTCACTGCAAGCTCTGCCTCTCGGGTTCACGCCATTCTCCTGCCTCACTCAGCCTCCCGAGTAGCTGGGACTACAGGCACCCGCCACCACACCCGGCTAATTTTTTGTTTTTGTTTTTTTTTTTTTTTTTTTTTTTAGTAGAGACGGGGTTTCACCGTGTTAGCCAGGATGGTCTCGATCTTCTGACCTCGTGATCTGCCCGCCTGGGCCTCCCAAAGTGCTGGGATTACAGGCGTGAGCCACCGCACCCAGCTGGGAAGTTTTCTTTAAAGCATCTTCGGAAAAGTTTCTTGTATAGCCCCGGCTCTTAGAGCCAGGCTGGCAACCTTTGATATGTAAATGCAAGCCATTAGAAACTAGGTCCACCCAAACATGGTGATTCCCCTGCCTTCTTGCCCTTTCCCCACAAGTTCCTGGCAACATGGCCGCCCCCATGTATTCCCACGTGTGTTAGAACATCATGGTGCCCCGCTTTTGCATATTAAAAGGCTATGGTGGGAGGGCCAGCTTTTTCGCAGATATGTGAATGACATGCCTAGTCAAACCAATCCCCTGAGCCCTATGCAATTCAGACACCGCCTCCTCCAGCCTCTGTGTACATATATCTAGCTGGTATCTGTGGCAGGTCGGGGTTCCCCTCTCTCAGCTTTGGAGCCCCCCTCCCTCTGTCTCTTTACAGGGGAGCTTGTTCCTCCTCCCTTCCTTCTTGCCTCTTCTTGCCTATTAAGCTCTCAAGCTCTCCACTCCTTAAAACCACTCCACGTGTGTCTGTGTCGTTTTATCTAAACTGGCACGAGGACCAAGAACCCTGGTGTTCCTCCACTCATCGGAGCTGTATCACTGGTAGATAGGAGCACTGCCATTTTTGATGCTTACATTTCAAAGAGATCTCAAGTCCTTGAGAAAGACATTCCTGGGTTTTACACATTTACAAGAGGCTTTTAGAAAGATTTATATACATCTGGGGCCAGGCGCGTTGGCTTATGCCTGTAATCCCAGCACTTTGGGAGGCCGAGGCGGTTGGATCACGATGTCAGGAGATGGAGACCATCTTGGCCAACATGGTGAAACCCCATCTCTACTAAAATACAAAAAATTAGCCAGATGTGGTGGCGCGTGCCTGTAATCCCAGCTACCTGGGAGGCTGAGGCAAGTGAATCACTTGAACCCCGGAGGCGGAAGTTGCAGTGAGCTGAGATAGCACCACTGTACTCCAGCCTGGGCAACAGAGCAAGACTCCATCTCAAAAAAAAGAAAAGAAAAGAAAAGAAAGATTTATATACATCTCACAGGGGCAGAGAGAATTTACAATGACAAATCCTCTAAAGAAAATGCTTTAAGAAAAGGGAAAGAATAGTCTTTTCCCTAATTTTTTCTTTTTGCTTTTGTTTGTTTGTTTAGAGACGGGGTTTTGCTATTGTAAACCAAAAGGTATCTGAGACAGGTCTTAATCAGCTTAGTTTATTTTGCCAAGGTTAAGGATGTGCCTGTGACACAGCTTCAGGAGGTCCTAACGACATGTGCCCAAGGTGGTCGGTGTGCAACTTGCTTGTATACATTTTAGGGAGACATGAGACATTAATCAATATGTGTAAGATGTGCATTGGTTCGTTCTGGTAACGCGGGATAACTTGAGGCAAGGGCTTCCAGGTCCCACATAGGTAAGAGACAAAAGGTTGCATTCTTTTAAATCCTTGATCATCTTTCCACTGAATACACAATTTAGGCTGGCTCAGTGAATCTGCATTTTTACATAAACAATAGGGCAGGGGAAGCAATCAGATATGCATTTGTCTCAGGTGAGCCTCCTCAGAGGGATGACTGAGTTCTGTCTGTCCCTTGTCCACAAGGAATTTCCTTCTGGGCAAATTGTGAGGGAGGTATGTAGCTTTTTTTTGAGACGGAGTCTTGCTTATTCGCCAGGCTGAAGTGCAGTGGCGCCATCTCGGCTCACTGCAATCTCCGCATACCAGGTTCAAGCGATTCTCCTGCCTCAGCCTCCTGAATAACTGGGATTACAGTCACGCACCACCACGCCCAGCTAATTTTTATATTTTTAGTGGAGACAGGGTTTCACCATGTTGGCCAGGATGGTCTCGATCTCTTGACCTCATGATCTACTCGCCTTGGCTTTCCAAAGTGCTGGAATTACTGGCTTGAGCCACCACGCCCAGCGGTGTGTAGCTTTTTATCTTTTTTTTTTTTGAGATGGAGCCTTGCTCTGTTGCCCAGGCTGGAGTGCAGTATGCGATCTCAGCACTTTGGGGCGGGGGCAAGATGAACAGATCGCTTGAGTTCAAGAGTTCAAGACCAGCCTGGGCAACATGTCTAAACCCCATCTCCACAAAAAAATATAAAAATTAGCTGGGCGTAGTGGTACCCGCCTGTAGTCCCAGCTACTCAGGAGGCTGAGGTGGGAGGATCAGTTGAGCCAGGGAGGCAGAGGTTGCAATGAGCTGAGATTGCATCACTGCACTCCAGCCTGTGTGACAGAGTGAGACCCTGTCTCAAAAAAAAAAAAAAACTTAAAATCTTTTTTTTAATTCTCTCAATTTCAATCTCACTTACTTCTTCTTTCAAAGCCACCACTGTCTGAACCTGGTGCCCTTCCTTCTGATTATAGTTTTCGTTGTTGTTACTGTGTTTTGTTTACTTTTACAATTTTGGAATATGAAAATATCTTTCTTTTGTAACGACAAATATGGAATACAAACATTACAACTTCTTTTTTTGCCCATCCTGGATTAAAAAGGAAATAATAGATGAAATGCCTTGCAAAGAGGACAAAATATTTTGGGGTCTAAAATGTGCTTTGCCCAGGATCTTGCCTTGTAATGATAATGACTCTCCCTTAGTGATCCAAACAAAGGAATGTGGTCAACTGTATGAACAAGGTTCAGTGAAGTCCTGAGTCACATGACAATCTGTCCTCCCCAAGCCTCTGTGCTTCAGAAGCTGGAAAGTCGTTCTACCCTTGGGCACAGGGTACATGTGCAGTAGCAATAAATAGCACCAGGAGGAATAGGAGCAACAAGTGTTACTGGTAGAGGGTCTTGACTACGAGTTGTCCAGGTCCTTGGCATTTTGAACAAAGAATTGAACAAAACGTACGAAGTAGCAGAGAAATGAAATGCAGGAATGAAGCAACGAGAGCAGGAATTCATTAAAGCGAGAAAGCACTTCACAGGGTGGGAGTGGGCCTGAGCAAGCAGCTCAAGGGTGCAGTTACAAAGCTTTCTGGGCTTTAAGTACCTCATTTGAGGTTCTTATCTAGATGAAGGATTTGGTCTGTGGCAAATTAAAGACTGAGGTGAACTGGCGCCCTGTGCAGATAAAGGGATGGTCCCTGCTTCGCCAGGGCCAATCCAAGGCACTCTCCTTTTCCATCCCAGCACTTTGGGAGCCTGAGGCAGGTGATCACTTGAGCTCAGGAGTTCAAGACCAGCCTGGCTAACATGGTGAAAACCTGTCTCTACTGGTGCTCTCGCCATTATTCCATCTGCTATGAGCCCCTTTCTGCATAAAGTAAAGTTTGCCTTGCTAAGAGAATTAAATTTATGTTTGAATGTTATTTCTTTGTAGCACTGGGGAACAAGCATTCTATTTCTAAATAAACATTTTTACATATAAGAAATGGTGGTCCGTACAGGGATACATTTTCCTCTGGGGTGGTCTCTAGTCCTCTCATGAGGGGGTCTCCCACTGCCTCATTGTGGTGGCCTCAGGGGTAGTAAGAAATTGAGACCCATCTGGTGTGATGAATAGACCCGGACTCTCAACAAGGCAGAAGAAACTGGCCAGCAATCTGGAGTAAATGATCCTCACATATGATGTGGACCAGGCGACCTCATGCATGAGCCAAGAAAGGAAACAAACCAGAGGAGCCGTACACCAGCACCTGCCTGGAAACCACATCCTCATCAAAAGATAGAAAGAAGAAAAACTCGAGGCAGCCTAAGAACCCTACCTTGTGCTGCTAACCACCGAGACTGCCGTTCGCACAGCAGAAAAGGATAGACACATCATACCCAAGTCAAAAAAGCGTCATCACCATCAAAGTTATAGGTCATTGTTCCAGGGTCAAGCCCTACCAAGTTAAAGCTAAGAAAACTTTATCTATCTTTTCTTTCCTTTAACTACTCCCCATCTTATTAATGTAACTAAATCTAACTCACCTCAAATTATTACTTTTAATGCCTGTTCAGTTATCACTCCTCTCATACCAAATGACAAAACCAAAGTCTTTGTAGTAAAAGTAAAAAAATCTAAAGCAAACCACAGCAATTAAAACAAGATATCAAGATGTAAATGACTAGCTAAAATACATTAAATATTCTGTCCGCACTCTAAATAAAAGCAATTGTTATGCTTGTGCACACAGTAGGCTAGAAGTCCAAGTTATCCCCTTTCCACTCAGATAGTCCTCTAATCGACAAGGCATGGACTGCATGGTAGCTCCTTTTCTTCTTTTGTCTTTTTTTCTTTTTTTTATCTGAGACGGAGTCTCGCTCTGTCGCCCAGGCTGGAGTGCAGTGGCGCAATCTCGGCTTACTACAAGCTCCACCTCCCGGGTTCAAGCCATTCTCCTGCCTCAGCCTCCCAAGTAGCTGGGACTACAAGCGCACGCTGCCAAGCCCGGCTAACTTTTTTTTTTTTTTTTTTTTTGTATTTTTAGTAGAGACGGGGTTTTACCCTGTTAGCCAGGATGGTCTCGATCTCCATCTCCTGACCTCGTGATCCGCCCGTCTCGGCCTCCCAAAGTGCTGGGATATAGGCGTGAGCCACTGCACCCGGCCGGTATCAAAATCCTGCAGCCTAAGATAGTAAAGTGTGCCAAACTCTCTCTACTATTTCCTAAAGTGCAGTACCCTGAGGGTCAGCCCCCCGAGGGCCATTCAGCCTCCATCTTCCAAGACCAATTTTACCTCGTGTCTCCAACGATAAAAGGAAAATTTAGCGTACTTTGAAGACTTAACATGATACAGCGAGGTCAGGCACTTCCAAAAGCTAACCCATCAGTCCACCCTTATTCATCCCCAAGCGGATGCATAGTAATACTGTAAAAAACCTTTACTAGACACTCTACCAAATAATTAGAGCAGCACTTATGCTCTAGTTCAATTAGCTATCCCTTTTACCCTGGCATTTCATCAATCAGAAAAAGAGAAATTACGACATAAGCAAATAAAAGAAGCCTCAAAAGAAGCAGCCCCTTACAGCTATTTTGATTCCCATGTCTATTCAGATGCAATTAGAGGTCCTCACAGAGTACCAAATAAATTTAAAACCAGAGATCAAATAGCTGCAAGGTTTAAGTCAATGTTGTTTTAGTGAGTAGCAATTAATAAAAATGTAGATTAAATAAACTGCATTTATTACTACCAGCAGCAATTTATTAACTATACCAAAGATGCTGTTAAAGAAATAGCTGAACAATTAAAACCCACAAGTCAAATGGCCTGAGAAAATAAGATAACTTTAAATATAATATTAACAAAGAAAGGTAGTGTTTATATTATAATCAAAACTCAGTGTTGCACCTTTATTCCAAACAACACTGCTCCCAATGGGAGCATAACAAGGACCCTCCAAGGACTTACTGCCTTATTAAATAAGTTAGCAAAAAATTCCAGCATTAACAACTCTATTTCAAATTAGCTCGAGAAATAGTTCAGCCAACAGAAAGAGACCATGGCCTCAGTCCTTACTTCTCTAGCAACTGTAATAAGTATACTTCTCCTTATTAGATGTCATGTTATGTTATACCATACATTTAAAAGCTAATCAAAACAACTAAGCCAAGACATATTTAAAAAAAAAAGTTTGAAGAAGAAAACTATAAAAACAAGACAAGGAAATTGTAGAAAGTAAAAAGTTCCTCTTCAAAGTTTCCCTTCTTGTTCAAGAATAAATCATAAGTGTTAGAAATAGTAGTTTCTTTTAAAGACTAACTGTATGCTAGACATGCGCACAGGCCTGTCCCGGCTCGCAGCCTATGCCCCTTCCTTATTTAAGAATGTTATTACCTTTCTAAGTCCTTTCGTAAGTAACTTCCTCTTTTCCTTTGTCTTTCTATTGCCTTTGCCTATTTAGAAAAGTTTTAAACTGTTAGCTAATCAGGTTTTAGTTTAGATTGTGAGGTCTGGCTTTAGCCAATGGAGACAGGACACAGTAGCAGGGACAAACTGCGTAAAGGATAAAAATTACTTCCCTCCATTGTTCAGGTGTGCTCTTGCCATTATTCCATCTGTGGTGAATACTTGACTTTCTGCAAAAAGTAAAGATTGCCATGCTAAGAGAATTAAATTTATGTTCGAGTGCTATTTCTTCGTAGCACCAAGGAACAAGCATTCTATTTCTAAGTAAACATTTTTTACATATAACCAACAAACAAACAAAAACCTGTCTCTACTAAAAATACAAAAAAATTAGCAGGACGTGGTGGTGCACACCTGTAATCCCAGCTACTCAGGAGGCTGAGGCAGGAGAATCATTTGAACCCGGGAGGCCGGAGGTTGCAGTAAGCCAAGATTGTGCCACTGCACTCCAGCCTGGGTGACAGAGTGAGACTTCGTCTAAAAAAAAAAAAAAAAACAGATAAAAATGTGTTATTTGTAAATTAGCTGGGTGCAGTGGTGTGGGCCTGTAATCCCAGCTACTCATGGGGCTGAGGTGGGAGAATCTCTTGAGCCAAGGAGGCGGAGGTTGCAGTGAGCCCACATCACGCCACTTCACTCCAGCCTGGGTGATGGGAGTAAAACCCGGTCTTAAAAATAAGTAGGCCAGGCTCTGTGGCTCATGCCTGCAATCCCAGCACTTTGGGAGGCCGAAGTGGGTGGATCATTTGAGGTCAGGAGTTTGAGACCAGCCTGGACAACACGGTGAAACCCTGTCTCTACTAAAAAAAATACAAAAATTAGCTGGGCATGGTGGCGAGCACCTGTAATCCCAGCTACTTGGGAGGCTTAGGCAAGAGAATTGCTTGAGCCTGAGAGGCAGAGGTCGTGGTGAGCTGTGATAGCACCACTGCACTCCAGTCTGGGTGAGAGAGTGAGAGACCCTGTAGGAAAGAAAAGAAGGAGGGAAGGAGGGAAGGAGGGAAGGAAGGAAGGAGGGAGGGAGGGAAAGAAGAAAAGAAAGAAAGAGAGAGCGGGAGGGAGGCAGGGAGGAAGGGAGGGAGGAAGGAAGGAAGGGAAGGGAAAGGAAAGAAAGGAAGGGAAAGGAAGAAAGGAAAAGGAAAGAGAAAGAAAAAGAAAGAAGAAAGAGAGAAAGAAAGGAAGGAAGAAAGAGAAGAAAGGAAGAAAGGAAGAAAGGAAAGAAAGAGGGAGAAAGGAAGGAAAGGAAAGGAAAGAAAGGAAGACAGGAAAGGAAGAAAGGAAAAGGAAAGAAAGAAAGCAAAAGAAAGAAAGAAGAAAGGAAGAAAGGAAAGAAAGAGGGAGGAAGGAAGGAAAGGAAAGAAAGGAAGAAAGGAAAGGAAGAAAGAGAAAGAAAGAAGAAAAGAAAGGGAAGAAAGGAAGGAAAGAAAGAGGCCCTGTGCACAGCCTCACACCTGTAATCCTAGCACTTTGGGAGGTCGAGGTGGGTGGATCACTTGAGGTCAGGAATTTGAGAACAGCCTGGCCAACATGGTGACACCCCATCTCTACTAAATATATATATATATAAAAAATTTAGCTGGGCATGGTGATAGATGCCTGTAATTTCAGCTACTTGGGAGGCTGAGGCAGGAGAATCGCTTGAACCCAGGAGGGAGAGGTTGCTGTGAGCCAAGATAACACCACCACACTGCAGCCTGGGCTACAGAGTGAAACTCTGTCTCAAAAATAAATAAATAAAAATAAATTAATTAATAATTGTATTTATTGCTGCTATTTTTGAAGTTAATTAAAGGTATTTTAAGCTGGGTGTGGTGGTTCACACCTGTAATCCCAGCACTTTGGGAGGCCAAGGTGGGTAGATTTCTTGAGGCCAGGAGTTCAAGACCAGCCTGGGCAACATCGTGAGCCCTCATCTCTACTAAAGATAAAATAATTATCCGGGTGTGGTGTCATGAGCTTGTAGTCCTAACTGCTCAAGAGGCTGAGGTGGGAGGATCCCTTGTGCCTAGGAGGTGGAAGTTGCAGTGAGTCGTAATCTCACCACTGCACTCCAGCCTGGGTGACAGAGCCAGACCCTGTCTCAAAAGAAATAAATAGGCCGAGTGGGGTGGCTCACGCCTATAATCCCAGCACTTTAGGAGGCCAAGGCAAGTGGATCACATGAGGTCAGGAGTTCGAGACCGGCGTGGGCAGCATGCTGAAACCCCGTCTCTACTAAAAAAAAAATGCAAAAATTAGATGGGCGTGGTGGCACACGTCTGTAATCCCAGCGACTTGGGAGGCTGAGGCAGGAGAATCGCTTGAACCCCGGAGGCGGAGGTTGCAGTGAGCCGAGATTGTGCCATTGTGCTCCAGCCTGGGCAACCAGAGCAAAGCTCTGTCTCAAAAACAAACAAACATTTGCTTTTTTGTTTTTAATATTACTATTTTACTAATGGTACAATACTCCCCCATTTACCACAAGTGATAGATTTTCTGTCAGGTTTTCTTCCATTCCATGTAAAGCCATTTGTCTCCTCCATCAAATTATTTTACTGCTAATTCTGCCTTTAGTCATCTGCATTGTAATCTTTTACCTCTAGTTTTGTATGAATTCAACAGCCTTAAATAACTGCACGGAGTGATGCAACTTATTTATGATTAGAAAATGCTTGTTAATGAACCACATGCAGTCATTTTTGAAATTGTAAATGGCATTAACAATTTTTCTTCTTTTCTTTTTTTTACTTCTTTTTAAAATAACTTGGGTACTCTCTTTTCCTTATTCTTGCCAAGCATATATATTAGTGAAAACCTATGCGGGAAGTGGCAATTTGGTCTCCTCTTCCTCCTGTAGTTGTTAGTTATTTGAATAAGGTGATTTGAGTTATTTCTAATTCTGGCTGTATTCTCTTGGGTTCCCACAGACACACACCCTGAGAAAGGATTTGAAAGCAAGTATTAATAATTCACTGGGAGGTGATCTCAGGAAACACTGGTGGAGGACTGGCGACGTGAGATAAGGATGGAAGGGAAAAGCAGTTAAGAAAAGGGTGAGCTATCAATCCAGCTGCCACTGTGAGCAACTGTAGCTGCATCTTGCTGCAGAACCCTGGGACTCAGTGTAGAGAGCATGACCCAGACTTACCCACAGGATGAGTGAGGGAGCTGGTTATGAACTGCTGGGGGAGTGTTACAGTTCAGGCTGCCAGAGCAAACCTTGTCATGGAAATCAGCCGGGCATACACTACAGAGTCAGAAGTAGGGATGGAGGCACTGAAGATGGCAGGCACAAACACAGTGCAAAATTTTCATCATCAACTCTATGTTTTATATACTTTGAAAGATTTAGATAACTGGCATCAACTTATTTATCAGAGAAGAGTTGAAGAGTGAGACCATTTAGGAGGCTTGAGATAGTCCAGGTAGCAGCTTAGACTTGATTGTATGGAAATAAAGACCACCTACAGGAGAACAAATAAAGGCTATCTAATCAGAGCTTGCTATATAGCAAGAGAGAGAGCCACCATCATGTGCATTTGGTAAAAAGTCAAAGTCAAGCAGAGGACTGCGAAAACTTGATAGTGGAAAAAGCAAAAAGTTTCAGGTCTACCCTGATTGGACGCTGTCGACCTGGAGAAGCTGTAGGCAGCTAACTAGAAGAGGCGCATCCTATGGGATTGGTTAGGGGTGCATATTTGGCTTTCTCCTGTGGGTCCTAAATTGGAAGCTGGGACAGAAATGAGAGAAGCTGGCAGTTACTTGAGACAGGGTCTCACTCTGTTACCCTGGCTGGAGTTGCAGTGGCACGATCATGGCTCACTGTATCCTCAGCCTCCCAGGCTCATGCAGTCCTCCCACCTCAACCTCCCAAGTTGCTGGGACTACAGGCATTTGCCACCAAGCCTGGCTAATTTTATTTTTAATTTTTTGTAGAGATGAGATCTCACTGTGTTGCCCAGGCTGGTCTCAAACTCCTGGGGTCAAGAAATCCTCCTGCCTCAGCCTCCTAAAGTGCTGGGGTTATAGTCATGAGTCCCGTGACAGGCAAAGCTGGCAGCTATCAGGGCATACTTGAAACCTTCTCTTTTTCCACTATAAAAATTTCCCACTCCTCTGCCTGCCTTTGAGTCTTTGCCAAAACACAAGTGACTGTGACTGACGCTCTTGCTGTAGCAGGCTCTGGATAAATAGCCTTTGATTGTTCTCTTTCGGTTGGTCTTTGTTTATGTCCATAGATCAAACCATTTTTACTTGCATCTTCTTGCTCCTGTCATATACTTGTTTTGTGCCAGCCGTATGAAACTTCTCACTTTCCTTCAAATCAGCTTGCCAGTCCCTAGAATGTGCAAGCTGCTCATGTTGCTCATGTTGTATGTGTCCTGTATCTAGAAAACCCTTTTACTGCTTCTCCAGCTGACGGAAAAAATCCTACTCGCTTTACTCCAAAGGCCAGCTCAAGTATCACCTCATCTGTGAAGCATTTCCTAACTCTTCCAGGGAGAATTAATTGAGCCCTACTTCTGAGATCCTATTACACTTTACTCATGCTGGTAGCAGGACCCGATTGCAGTCATAGCTTTCAGGCAGTGTCTGCATCACCTGAGGAAATGTCAACTCCTTTAGGGTAGGGGGCCTTCATATTGCTCCTGACTCTTAGAAGATGCTCAGTAAATGTTTGTGAAATGAAGTTGAATAAAATCCTTACTCTCAAAACTCATTTTTGCTATATTCTATACAACCAAAGGTAAATGGGAGGATTGGTAGAAGTTTTCCTTGGACCGGCAAACCTTTCCCTTGTCCCATTTTAAAAAAACATAAACCGAGGCGGGCAGATCACGAGGTCAGGAGATTGAGACCATCCTGGCTAACACGGTGAAATCCCTTCTCTACTAAAAATACAAAAAAATTGGCCGGGCATGGTGGCGGGTGCCTGCAGTCTCAGCTACTCGGGAGGCTGAGGCAGGAGAATGGCATGAACCCAGGGGACGGACCTTGCAGTAAGCAGAGATGCGCCACTGCACTCCAGCCTCGGTGACAGAGACAGACTCTGTCTCAAAAAAAAAAAAAAAAACAAAAACCATAAACAGGGTATTGTTAATAGTGTTATCAAAATTAGCTGGGATGGGTTTGGTAGACTTGCACTTTGCACTTCTAGCTTCTATCATGGTCTCATTTGGTGGTGTGTGAGGCACTTGTGCTGTGAGCTCTCTCTCTCTCACTCTCACTCTATTTTTTAGAGATAGGGTTTCACTATATTGCCAAGGCTAGCCTTGAAGTCCTGGGCTGAAGTGATCTTCCTGCCTTAGCCTCCCAAGTACCTGGGACTACAGGCATGCGGCACTGTGCCAGGTTCAGGTTCATTTCAAATGGAAAAGACAATCTTTCTTCCCTTCCCAATCCTTGCCAGACCTCATTTAACTAATAGCTTCCTTTTCAAGGACTGCAGGCAGAGGCAGAGTGCTTGCTGTTACATGAAGTGTGCTCCAGTGCTGGTGGCTTGGGACAATGAATTCATGCAGATCTCAGGCGATGGCAGGAGAAGTATTGGATGCTCCTGATCAGTTGGTACATCTGTATATGAAATACAGGAGGAAACAGGCCGGGCAGTCCTGCCCGCTGTACAGAGAAAGTGGTCGACACAGCAGGGGAATTTAAAGATCACCTCTAACCATCTCAGTTCTTAAGTGGCATCTTTAGTTGGGCCTAGGAATTAAATTGACAAAGGCAGATTAACAGAAGAAAAGCACACAAGTTTTATTAATTTTTACCTGTACAAAGGGACACTTACAAGAGAGTGAACACCTGAGGAAATGGCCAAAGCGGAAAGCTTTTCTACTTTTTAGATAAAGAATGGTAAATCTGTGAAGAAAGGACTGGACAAAGGGATCCAGGTTGGGGACAGTAAATTCTAGGGGAGTCACTAGGAGATTTATGGGGGGATGTAAACCTAGTGGAAGATAAGGATTTATTAAGTAAGTTTATCTGTACAGGTCCAGCTCAGTGGCAGTTCCCAGTCCCTGGAGATAAGGGTTATTTTCTTGCCCTGGTACCGGAAAGGCCTCCTCCTCAAAGGAATTTTTATGACTTGCTACATGTAGGAAAGGACAGGTCAGAGAGCCCTTTCTGCAATTACAGTCTCTCAAGTACTTTCAGCTTGAAATAATCAGTACATCACATCAGCCAATTTTGGGGTGGCTCATCCTTAACTCCTGCAACACTTTTGCTTAGTGGTTTTATCATTATATATTGTATAAATATATATATATAGTATACATCTATAACCATTTATTTATTATACTTACATTAATTTTTTTCCTATAGACTCTTCCAGCAAGAATAAGGTTTTTTTTTGTTTTTGTTTTGAGAGGGAGTCTTGCTCTGTCACCCAGGCTGGAGTGCAGCAGCATGATCTCAGCTCACTGCAACCTCCGCCTAGCGGGTTCAAGCGACTCTCCTACCTCAGCCTCCCAAGTAGCTGGGACTACAAGCACCCACCACCATGCCCGGCTAATTTTTTGTAGTTTTAGTAGAGACGGGGTTTCATCATGTTGGCCAGGCTGGTCTCGAACTCCTGACCTCCGGTGATCCGCCTGCCTCAGCCTCCCAAAGTGCTGGGATTACAGGCATGAGCCACCCCGCCCGGCTGCAATAATATTTTTTTTAAGGTTTTTTTTTTTTGCCTTTTTGTAGGGTTTTTATTTATTTATTTTGGTGGGTTTTTTTTCCTTTCTTTTTCTTTTCTTTTCTTTTCTTTTTTTTTTTTTTTTAAGACAGGGACTTGCTCTGTTGCCCAGGCTGGAGTGCAGTGGTGCAATCACAGCTCACTGCAGCCTTGACCTCCTGGGCTCAAGTGATTCTCCTACTTCAGCTTCCTGCGTAGCTGGGACCCCAGGTGCTCACAACCATGCCCAGCTAACTTTTATTTTTTGTAGAGATGAGGTCTTACTTTGCTGCCCAGGCTGGTCTCAAACTCCTGAGCTCAAGCGATCCTCCAGCCTCAGCCTCCCAAAGTGCTGGGATTACAGGTGTGAGCCACTGTGCCCAGACACAAAAGTTCTTAAAGAAGGAAAAATTAGGCTGGGCACAGTGGCTCACGCCTGTAATCCCAGCACTTTGGGAGTCCGAGGCAGGCAGATCACAAGGTCAGGAGTTCGAGACCACCCTGGCCAATATAGTGAAACCCCAACTCTACTAAAAATAAAAATAAAAAAAATTAGCCAGGCATGGTGGCACATGCCTATAATCCCGCTACTCGGGAGGCTGAGGCAGGAGAATCACTTGAACCTAGGAGGTGGAGGTTGCAGTGAGCTGAGATCACACCACTGCACTCCAGCCTGGGCGACAGAGTGAGACTCTGTCTCAAAAAAATAATAAAAATAAAAATAAATTAGCTGGGTGTGGTGGCCTGTGCCTGTAGTCCCAGCTACGTGGGGGGCTGAGGCAGAGAATTGCTTGAACCCGGGAGGCAGAGGTTGCAGCAGCTGAGATCGAGCCACTGCACTCTAGCCTGGGTGACAGAGCGAGACTCCATCTCAAAAAAAAAAAAAAGAAAGAAAAAGAAAAATTAAGTCTGAACTTTGAGTTTCTCAAGGAAGCTAATGATGCATGTATAAATTGCACAAAATATTTATCAACATTTACCATCCCCGGTGAAGGCTGTAGTAATATCATTGACTACATGAAAAAATAGAAGACACAAATTTGCTGAAGAAGAATCAGTGTCTACTTCAAATGATAATAATTCTTTTAAGCAGATCGTGCCTGAAAATGACAAGGTAACATATGCAGATGCAGAGGTGAATTTCCTTATCACTCTGTGAAGTACGCATCCCATTTAGGGCAAATGACAGCCTTTTTAAGTTAATTTTGCTCTTTTTTTTTTTTTTTTTTTTTTTTTTTTAGATGGAGTCTCGCGCTCTGTCGCCCAGGCTGGAATGCAGTGGTGCAATCTTGGCTCACTGCAACCTCCACCTCCCAGGTTGGAGCAATTCTTCTGCCTCAGCCTCCCGAGTTGCTGGGATTACAGGTGCCTGTCATCACGCCCGGCTAATTTTTGTATTTTTAGTAGAGACGAGATTTCACCATCTTGGCCAGGCTGGTCTTGAACTCCTGACCTCAAGTGATCCACCTGCCGTGGCCTCCCAAAGTGCTGGGATTACAGGCATGAGCCACCGTGCCTGGCCAAGAAAATTCTTAAGTTTCAAACCACTTGTGGTTTTGTTTTCTTTTTGGATGTTTTAGTTAGCTATGGATAAAATCTCCACAAGGTGTCCCTAAGCTACAGATATGAAAATGTCCTGCTCAGAACACCCTTGGGAGTCCCCATCCCCAAACTCCACTTAGGCAACTGATTAGTGAAATCCAATTAGATCCAGCATCTCTCCCAAGATACTTTGACTCCAGGTAAATTCAGGATGAATGGAGAGGAATGGCAGCTTCACTCACCACCACAAGGTGCTGCCTCCTGCTGTGTTCCAGACAGTCCCAAAGCCCCAGAAGCACAGCGCAGGGACTCCAGAGTGAGACTGAATGAAAACATATCCACACGTAAGTGCCACTCACACACTCTGTGTCCGGGGCGTGGAATAGGCCAGGAGAACCTTGGTCTGAAAATACGAAGAGCTCGTTTCTTCCTCTTAATCTATCACTAGTACCACAATACTGAGTTGAGATCATTATTGCTATATTACCTCAAGCCAATCATTAATGTCAATGGTATTAACTTTTTCTCATTTGTAAAAATGATCAAACTTGGTTTAAGATGTTCCGTATAGTCCCTTGAAATTACTTTTGTTTGTTTGTTCATATCTATCTATAAAAACAAGCTGATGTAGCATTTTTTGTTTTGTTTTGTTTTGTTTTTGAGACAAGGTCTCGCTCTGTCACCTAGGCTGGAGTGCAGTGACACGATCTCAGCTCACTACAGCTTCGACTTCCTGGGCTCAAGCAATCCTCCCATCTCAGCTTCCTGAATCTCTGGGGCTACAGGCTTATGCCATCATGCCCAGCTAATTTTCGTTGTTTTGGTTTTTGGTTTTTTGTTTTTTGAGACGGAGTCTCACTCTGTCGCCCAGGCTGGTGTGCAGTGGCGTGATCTCAGCTCATTGCAACCTCCACCTCCCGGGTTCACGCCATTCTCCTGGCTCAGCCTCCCAAGTAGCTGGGACTACAGATGCCCGCCACTACGTCCGGCTAATTTTTTTGTATTTTTAGTAGAGACGGGGTTTCACCTTGTTAGCCAGGATGGTCTCGATCTCCTGACCTCATGATCCGCCCACCTCGGCCTCCCAAAGTGCTGGGATTACAGGCGTGAGCCACTGCACCCGGCCTAATTTTTCATAGTTTTTTGTAGAGATAGGGTTTCGCCGTGTTGCCCAGGCTGGTCTCAAACCCCTGAGCTCAAGTGATTGGCTTGTCCTCCCAAAGTGCTGATTATAGGCGTGAGCCACTGCACCCGGCCATGTTTTTTCTTTATGCATACTTACCCTCTTTATTTCTTACTGGCTTACCTAAAATATGTGAAGAGGCTGCTTGCCAGGAGGTGAGAGAAACTGGAGGAGAGTGGTAATGCAATGAGTTTTGGATTTCTTTTTTTTTTTTTTTTTTTGAGGCCGAGTCTCAATCTGTCACCCAGGCTGGAATGCAGTGAGTGGTGCAATCTTGGGTCACTGCAACTTCTGCCTCCCAGGTTCAAGCGAATCTTCTGTCTCAGCCTCCCAAGTAGCTGGGATTACAGATGTGCACCACCACACCTGGCTAATTTTTGTATTTTTAGTAGACACGGGGTTTCGCCATATTAACTAGGCTGGTCTCGAACTCCTGACTTCAAGTGATCTGCTCGCCTTGGCATCTCAAAGTGCTGGGATTACAGGTGTTAGCCACTGCACCTGGCCGAGTTTTGTGTTTCAAATGCCAGACTTGGGACAGCTGAAGACTCCTCAGGTGATATGGACTACCAATAATACTGATTGGTAGGTAAATTGCGGGGATGGAACTAAGATCTCAAAGCCTGACCTGTAGCTATCTAAGACATTTAGTATCAACTGACTTCTTTCTTCCTTCCCTTCAGGTAACTATTAGGGATTTCCTAGGCCAGTTCTCAAAGAAACACAGCTTATCTTATGACCCAGGACACAGGCACACAGACACACATACGTGACTGAATTAATACTTAGCCTTACACCATTGCACTGTTTTATTTTCTTTCCTTTTCCTTTTCTTTTCTTTTTTTTTTTTTTTTTGAGACGGAGTCTTGCTCTGTGCCCAGCCCAGGCTGGAGTGCAGTGGCGCAATCTTGGCTCACTGCAAACTCTGCCTCCCGGGTTCACGCCATTCTCCTGCCTCAGCCTCCCGAGTAGCTGGGACTACAGGCACCCACCACCACGCCTGGCTAATTTTTTGTATTTTTTTTAGTAGATACAGGGTTTCACTGTGTTAGCCAGGATGGTCTCGATCTCCTGACCTCGTGATGCAACCATCTCGCCCTCCCAAAGTGCTGGGATTACAGGTGTGAGCCACCGCACCCGGACTCTTTTTTTTTTTTTTTTTTTTTTGAGATGGAGTTTCGCTCTTGTTACCCAGGCTGGAGTGCAATGGTGCCATCTCGGCTCACTGCAACCTCCGCCTCCCGGGTTCAAGCAATTCTCCTGCTTCAGCCTTCTGAGTAGCTGGGATTACAGGCATGTGCCACCACGCCCAGCTAATTTTGTATTTTTAGTAGAGACAGGGTTTCTCCATGCTCGTCTCGAACTCCTGACCTCAGGTGATCTGGCCACCTAAGCCTCCCAAAGTGCTGGGATTACAGGCGTGAGTCACCGCGCCTGGCTGTTTTCTTTTCTTTTCTTTGTTTAGAGATAGGGTCTCACTCTGTCACCCAGGCTGGAGTGTAGTGGTAAAATCATAGCTCACTGCAACCTCCAACTCCTGAGCTCAAGAAACCCTCTCTCCTCAGCCTTCCAAGTAGCTAGGACCACAGGTGCACACCACTACACCAAGCTATTTTCACAAATTTTTATACAGACAGCATCTCAGTATGTTGCCCAGGCCGGTTTCAACCCCCTGGGCTCAAACAATCCTCCCACCTTGGCCCCCAAAGTGTTGGGGTTTCAGGCATGAGCCGCTGCGCCCAGCCTTGTTATTTTCTATTCTATTGTTTTGTTTGCTTATCATTCTTGGCTTCCAACAGCAATTTTTAAAAACTGTTTTGGGGTAGAGGGAGTATGGCTAACAGCTGTTTTTTCCTTAAATCTGCGCTGTGGATCTTAGAACCAGATGCCTGTTATTCACTCCCAAGCCTCCTAGGCAACCCGCCAGTGAGATCGTCCCGCCAGTGAGATCGTCCCGCTGTTAGTCTTTGAGTTGATGGCCAGTCAGCCCTGGGTCTTAGTGGGTGGGAATAGAAGTGGGGGATGCAGAGAGAAAGCTCATTAAACATGGCCTTGCCCTAGGATTCAGAATGCAGTGCGCCTGCACTGAATCAACCTGTCAGAGAGGCTGTTCTTTGAAAAGAAGTTTGGGTCTGTCATTTAAAAAAATTAAACAATTTAGAAATGTAGTCCTCTCCTGCTTAACATCAGTAATCTATTACTGAAAATTGGTTGTTCTGCATGAAAATGCTAACCTTCAGCCTATTTATTTTATTTTAAACAGAAAAATTATACTATGTCAACCCCAAACCCTCAATCAATTTCTTAAAAGGTTAACTAAAGCATGGTAAGGTACCTAAATATAATTCTTATAAAACAAAACATCTGGTCAGTTGTGAAATGTTTAAAACATTGCTTCTTGATCACCAAATAATTAATATGGTGAATAACAGATAGGGGCTTTTGTGCAGTAGAAGATTCAAGACCAAGACAAGCTCATGTTTCCCTTTAGGCGGGCTTCCTCCTGAGGGAGGCCCCTGACCTCCCTCTTCTTAGAGCATTTGCTTTAGAAAACTTGTAAATTTTCTCTCTGATACTTCGAGATGCCAATTTTTTTTTTTTTTTTGGTCATTTTACCTTTAGTCGATGCATAATCTTTAAAAAAGCTTTGTCAGTTTTACAACCCAGGAAAGTCTTTCTCCAAGACCTGGGAACTATTTCTTTGAAATGCAATCAGCAGGACATAGCATCCTTATCTCTGTTTCTGTGGGAGGGCAGCAGGAGCCTGACTCCAAATTGCCTTGCTCCAAGTTTCAAGATATCGTGCTCTAAGTTACAAAACTAACTCTTGTCACAAAGCTAGGATACGTTTATTTCTCCTTTTTGTTGATTTTTGAACAATTAGAATTTATTTCTCACAGTTCTGAAGGCTGCGTGTCTGAGAGCAGGGTCCCAGCACAGCCAAGTTCTGGTGAGGACCCTCTTCCAGTGGCAGATGCCCACTTCTGGTGCTATCTCCCATGGAGGACAGCAGAGGCTATAATTCCTTTGGAGAAAGCCTACTAGCAAATACACAATGGAATTTTATTTAGCCTTTCAAAAAAAGGAATTTCTGCCATTTGCGACAACATAGATGAACCTGGAGAACTATGCTAAATGAAAAAAAGCCAGGCAGGGAAGGACACATACTGCAGGATCTCACATGTATGTGGAATCTAAAACAATCAAGCTCATAGAAGTAGAGAATAAAATGGTGGTTACCAGGGGCTGGGAGCGAGGAAATGGGGAAATGTTGGTCAATGGGTACAACATTTCAGTTAGACAGGAGGAATATTTTTTTGAGATCTATTGCACAGTATGAGAACTATAGTTAATAATAATGTACTGTATATTCCAAAAATGCTAAGTGAATACATTTCAAATGCTCTTCCTACCAAAAAAATGATGAGTATTGGCTGGGCATGGTGGCTCACACCTGTTATCCCAGAGTTTTGGGATGCCAAGGCAGGCAGATCACTTGAGGCCAGGAGTTCAAGGCCAGCCTAGGCAACATAGTGAAACCCTGTCTCTATAGAAAATTAAAAAAATTAGACAGACGTGATGGTGTGTGCCTGTAGTCTTAGCTACTCAGGAGGCTGAGGTGGGAGGATGGCTTGAGCCCAGGAGTTCAAAGTTACAGTAAGCTATAATGGTGCCACTGCACTCCAATCTGGGCAACAGAGTGAAAACTTGTCTCTCTAAAAAAATAAAAAAAAAAAAAGATGAGTATTGAGGTAATGGGTATGTTAATTAGCTTGATTTAATAATTTCACATTGTTTACATATATTACAACATCACTCCGTACCCCATAAAGACATCAAATTATAAAAAGCCAACGGCAAACACAAATGGCCTGTGACTTCCCTTATGTCCTTCAGTACTAATTCACCCAATCCTTTAAAACCTATCCCTTCTGGGCCGGGTGCGGTGGCTCATGCCTGCAATCCCAGCACTTTGGGAGGCAGAGGCAGGCAGATCACGAGGTCAGGAGATCGACGTCAACCTGGCTAACACAGTGAAACCCCGTCTCTACTAAAAATACAAAAAATTAGCTGGGCGTGGTGGTGGGCACCTGTAGTCCCAGCTACTCTGGAGGCAGAGGCAGGAGAATCACTTGAACCCGGGAGGCAGAGGTTGCACTGAGCCGAGATCCCGCCACTGCACTCCACCTGGGCGACAGAGAGAGACTCCGCCTCAAAAACAAACAAACAAACAAACAAACAAACAAAACCTATCCCTTCTGATGAGCAGTTTAGTTCATACTTAGTTCTGGCCCTCTCCCCTCCTGCAGTTTAACTTTGCCTAAAGTTTCAACGTTGTTCAGTGCAATTTTTCCTTTGACACCACCAGTGGTCCTGTGTTGCACCCCTTTTGTTTTGTTTCATTTTGTTTTTTTGTCTTTTGGTTTATTTGGTAGAGACAGGGTCTTGCTTTGTTGTCCAGGCTGGCCTTGAACTCCTGGCTTCAAGGGCTCCTCCTGCCTCGGCCTCCCATGGTGCTAGGATTATAGGTATGAGCCACAGCACCTGGCCTATTGCACCCCTTTTGTTGTTGTTTGTTGTTTTTTGGTTTTGAGACAGTGTCTTGTTCTGTTGCCCAGGCTGGAGCACAGTGGCATGATCGTGGCTCACTGCAGCCACTACCTCCTGGCTCAATCGATCCTCCAGCTTTAGCCTCCTGAGTAGCTGGGACTACAGAAGTGTACCACCATGCCTGGCTAGATTTTTGAATTCTTTGTAGAGACAGAGTTTCACCTTGTTTCCTAGGTTGGTCTTGAACTCTTGAGCTGAAGCCATCCAACTGCCTCGGCCTCCCAAAGCGCTGGGATTACAGGCGTGAGCCACCGCACCAAGCCTGTTTCGTGTTTTGTTTTTTAAGACAGGGTCTTACTATGTCACCCAGGCTTGAGGGCAGTGGCGTGATCATGGCTTACTGCAGCTTTGACCTCCCAGGCTCCAGTGATCCTCCCACCTCAGCCTTCTGAGTAGCTGGACTACACACGTGCTCCACCACACCCAGCTAATTTTTGTTCTTTTTTTTTTGAGACAGAGTCTCGCCCTGTCACCCAGGCTGGAGTGCAGTGGTGCAATCTCAGCTCACTGCAACCTCTGCCTCCTGGGCTCAAGCGATTCTCTTACCTCAGCCTCCAGAGTAGCTGGGACTACAAGCTCAGGCCACCACACCCAACTAATTATTTTTATTTTTATTTTTATTTTTTGAGACAGAGTCTCACTCTGTCACCCAGGCTGGAGTGCAGTGGCAACCTCCTCCTCCTGGGTTCAAGCAATTCTCCTGCCTCAGCCTCCTGAGTAACAGGGAATACAGGTGCCCACCACCACGCCTGGCTAATTTTGTATTTTTAGTACAGATGGGGTTTTACCGTGTTGGTCAGGCTGGTCTTGAACTTCTGACCTCAGGTGATCCACCTACCTCAACCTCCCAAAATTCTGGGATTATAGGCGTGAGCCACCACTCCTGGCCAATTTTTTGTATTTTTAGTAAAGATGGGGTTTCACCATGTTGGCCAGGCTGGTCGTGAACTCCTGATCTCAGGTAATCCACCCACCTTGGCCTCCCAAAGTGCTGGGATTACAGGCATGAGCCACTGCACCCAGCCTTAATTTTTGTATTTTTTGTATAGACAGGGTCTCACTATGTTGCTCAGGCTTATTTCAAACACCTGGGTTCAAGTGATCCTCTGGCCTCAGCCTCCCAAAATGCTGGGATTATAGGCGTGAGCCACTGTGCCCAGCCCCTTTTGTTGATCGCGCCACAATTTTCCAAAACGTTCATAGGGACTCTATATTAGCTTTCTAGAGCTGCCATAACAAAGCACCACAAACTGGGTGGGTTAAAAAAACAGAAAATGTATTATCTTACAGTTCTGGAAGTCAGAGGTCCAAAATCAAGGTCTTGGCAGGGCCATGCTCCTTCTGAAGGCTCCAGGGAAGAAATCTGTTCCATGCCTTACTTTTAGCTTCTGGTGTTGCCAGTAAATGCTTGTTGATACAGCACTTTAATCACTGTCTCCATTGCCTCATAGCATTCTTCCTGGGTCTGTCTCCGTGTCTCTTCTCTGCTTCTCATAAGGACAGCAGTCATATTGGATTGAGTCCATACTACTTAATATAGTTTGAATATTTGTCCCCTCCAAATCTCAAATTGAAATGTGACCCCCAGTGTTGGAAGTGGGGCCTAGTAGGAGATGTTTGGGTCATGGGGACAGATCCCTCATGAATGGCTTGATGCCCTCCTTACAGTAATGAATGAGTTCTTGCTCTATTAGTTAATGTGCAATCTGATTGTTAAAATCTCTCGCCATGTGACACACTGGCTCTCCTTGCCTTCCACCATGATTGGAAGCTTCCTGAGGCTTCCCCAGAAACAGACACTGGCACCTTGTTCTGTTAGAAATAAAAGCTCAGAGTCGTAAAGAAAATGAGCACTCAAACACAAGATTTCTCAGCAAGGCAAATTTTCTTCTGCAGAAGGGTGCAGCTTGCGCCAGTCATTATCGCAAGAGCACACCGAGCAGGGTAGGAAAGGGGTTTTTATCTCTAATGCAGTTCCTAGCACTTCTGTGTCCTTTCCCCATTGGCTGGGGTTGGACCTCACAATCTAAGCTAACTCGATTGGCTAAGGTTTAAAATTGAATAGGGTCTATTAGGTGAAGAGTCCGTTACTAGGTGGGAAAAGAGTCTGTTACTAGGCGGGAAGGCATATCTGGACTTGTCTGGGCATGGCAAAGGCAGGAAGGTTGTTTACAGAACAGGTAGCTAGGAGACAAGGAAGTACAAGGAAGTTGGTTTTAAGAAACAAAGAACAGGGAACGAAAGCTTTTTGAAGAGGAATTTATCATCTCTGACACTTCTTGTACAGTCTGCAGAACTGTGAGGCAATTAAACTTCTTTTCTTTGTAAATTACCCAGCCTTAGCTATTCCTTTATACAATGCAAAATGGACCAAATATAGTACTCAAGTATAACCTCATTCTAACTTAAATCTTAATTACATCTGCAAAGACTATTTCCAAGTAAGGTCACATTCACAGGTACCAGGGGTTAGGACTTCAACACATCCTTTGGGGCAGATACAATGTTGAGGATTGCCTCAACAGACTCTGAAGAAATAGCAATAATATTTGGAATAAAAGGCCTTTCTTGCATTTCATTTTTTGAAAAATATTGTATCATGTTTAGGATGTAAAAATTTTGTGACTTTTCTATAGAATTGTTAGCCAGAAATGTTATATTGAGAGATACATATGTTCTATGAAGTTTGAGTTTTAAAAATGAAGAGAAGGCTGGGCATGCCTGTAATCCTAGCATTTTAGGAAGCCAAGGCAGACAGTTTGCTTGAGCCCAGGAGTTCAAGACCAGCCTGGGCAACATAGCAAAATCCTATCTCTACAAAAAATAAACATTTAGCTGGGGCCGGGCACAGTGGCTCATGCCTGTAATCCCAGCACTTTGGGAGGCCAATGCAGGCAGATCACCTGAGGTCAGGAGTTTGAGACCAGCCTGGCCAACATGGCAAAACCCTGTCTCTACTAAAAATATAAAAATTAACTGTGTATGGTGGCGTGCACCTGTAATCCCAGCTACTTGGGAAGCTGAGGTAGGAGAATCATTTGAGCCCGGGAGGCAGAGGCTGCAATGAGCCGAGATTGGGTCACTGCATTCCAGCCTGGGAGACAGAGTGAGACTCAGTCTCAATAATAATAATAATAATAATAATAATAATAATAATAATAATAAAACTAGCTGGGTGTGGTGGCCTTTGCCTGTAGTCTCAGCTACTCAGGAGACTGAGGTGGGAGGATCATTTGAGCTTGGGAGGATGAGGCTGCAGTGAGCCATGATTGAGCCACTGCACTCTGCACTCCAGCCTGGGCAATAGAGCAAGACTGTCTTAAAAAAAAAAAAAAAGAGGTATTTCTCTTTTAGGGGAGAAGGTTTACCTGGGAGGCATTATGCAGGGTGAGCAGTAATCTATCTGGAGGACACACTTGGGTTTGGTGAAGGTGACACTTCTTCAAAGAGAAATCGAGGGTTGTGTCAAAGACAAAACCCAGAGAAGTAGGCAGATTGATTAAAGAACACTTGAGAGGCAAAGATCAGAGGATCTCAGCAGGGTGCTTTTGCCCTAGACTTATATAGAGAGGAGTAAACAAGCTGAAGTGGGGTGATATGCAGTTGGGGTTGTTTTGTATGCAGAACTGTCTGTCACTTAGCTGAACCAGAAATATTATTCTCAGGGAAACAAATTGTTCTAATCTTAGCTAGTCAACTACAGCAAAGAATGGGAAATTGGAGGATTTGTGTTTGGCCTTGTTGCAGATGAACAAGGGAGCCAACCCTGAGAACCGTGGGGTCACAAGAGAGTGGACGGTGAGTTGTACCTATGTCCTATGCAGAAGGATGGTTCTCTGAGCAAGTCTTCTCCAAGAACACAAAAGAATGGGGGATTTTGAAAAACAAAAGGTGGTGGAGGATGGGGGTTGCATGGGGTTCAGGTTGGGGGTGGGGGTACTGGGGGTGCAGGGTGCTTTATCATCGCTGCTTTCTTTTCTTTTTAAATAAATACATTTTCTTTCTGTCTTCTTTATTTTATTTTATTTTATTTTATTTTTTTGAGACAGGGTCTCACTCTGTCGCCCAGGCTGGAGTGCAGTGGCACAATCTCAGCTCACTGCAAGCTCCACCTCCTGGGTTCACACCATTCTCTTGCCTCAGCCTCCCCAGCAGCTGGGACCACAGGTGCCCGCCACCATGCCTGGCTAATTTCTTTTGTATTTTTAGTAGAGACGGGGTTTCACTGTGTTAGCCAGGATGGTCTCGATCTCCTGACCTCGTGATCTGCCCACCTCAGCCTCCCAAAGTGCTGAGATTACAGGCGTGAGCCACCATGCCTGGCCTCTTTCTGTCTTTATTTTATTTTACTTAAATTTTTTTGATTTTGTTTTTGTTTTGTTTTGGAGTTTTTTGCTCTTGTTGCCAGGCTGGAGTGCAATGACACGATCTCGGCTCACTGCAATCTTTGCCCCCTGGGTTCAGGCAATTCTCCTGCCTCAGCCTCCTGAGTAGCTGGGATTACAGGTGTGCGCCACCACGCCCAACTAATTTTGTATTTTTTTAAGTACAGACGGGGTTTCTCCATGTTGGTGAGGCTGGTCTCAAACTCCCGACCTCAGGTGATCTGCCTGCCTTGGCCTCCCAAAGTGCTGGGATTACAGGCATGAGCCACTGCACCCGGCCAAAAAAAAAAAATTTTTTTTTTTTTTGAGACAAAATCTCACTCTGTTGCTGAAGCTGGAGTGCAGTGGTGTGATCTCGGCTTACTGCAACCTCCACCTCCCTGGTTCAAGTGATTCTCCTGCCTCAGCCTCCTGAGTAGCTGGGACTACAGGCACGTGCCATCATGCCCGGCTAATTTTTTTATTTTTAGTAGAGACAGGGTTTCACTATATGGGTCAGGCTGGCCTTGAACTCCTGGCCTCAAGCGATCCACCTGCCTTGGCCTTCCAAAGTGCTGGGGTTACAGGCATGAGCCACAGCACCCGGCCAAACAAATTTTTTTTGAGACAGAGTCTTACTCTGTTGCTCAGACTGGAGTGCAGTGGTGCCATCTCAGCTCACTGCAACCTCTGCCTCCTGGGTTCAAGCAATTCTCCTGCCTCAGCCTTCCAAGTAGCTGGAATTACAGGCGCCCACCACTAAGCCATGATAATTTATTTTATTTTATTTTATTGTTTTAGTAGAGACAGGGTTTCACCATGTTGGCCAGGCTGGTCTCAAACTCCTGACCTCGTGATCCACCTGCCTTGGCCTCCCAAAGTGCAGGGATTACAGGCATGAGCCACCATGCCTGCCTGATTATCACTGCTTTCCAGAGGTGCAGGGTCTCAGATAAAGGTCAACAGTGCTCAGTGGTCAGGAGGAAGAAAGACCTATGTGTCACTGAGCAGAGACTGTAACTTCCTGCCTTCAGTTATTCCCAGTTACTCTTAGAAGTGTTTTATTTATCTTTGCAAAATGGATCTCACAGTCATGGGGTGCCGCTGCCACAGTGGCGGGGCCCACTTAGTGACTGCCAAACTTCAGACTTGAAAGGGTATCCTTTTGTCAGACTCCAGTGGGCTGTGCAAGAAATCCGGGGAAAGTGCAAGTGAGGCCTCTGAGATGCAGGAAGACCAGAATTCCTAGTCCATTTTATTTTTATTTAAAAAAGCAAGAATTTAAACTTTACTGACATTGATTATAGAGTATGCACTGGATTTGTCACTCTGAATCTATGTCACCGTTATGTGTCACCTCCTCGGGGAAGAACAGAAGCGTCACATTGTGGTGACTTTCCTCCCTGAACCCCTTCAGAGTGCAGCATATTACAGGTTAGGAGTGCCTGGTTAAAGGCAGATGGAATGATCTAGTTTCAACTAAACCTATCTTTACACAACAGATAAGTGGCTTTAAAAGACTCCTACAGAGAAACTGCTGGTTTTCAAGATAACTCTAATAATGCATGTGGCGGCAAACAAGGAGCTGTTTGACAACACTGACATCTATTCCTACAGGCGTAGAAGCCCTTTGTCTACTATTTGACAAGAAAATATAATAAAAATCTAACATAGTTTATTAGAAGTTGGTCAAAACATTCAAAATTACCAACACTGTTTGAAATACGGATTTATATTATTGTTACTATGAGCCTCACCCTAATTGTTGTGTATGAAGAGGTTTCATGAAATGTCTGTTCTGGTTATTACAGCCATGTATCCACCAAGATTTGAAATAAACTGAACTTAGAAGCAGTTCTTGGCCAGGCGCAGTGGGTCATGCCTGTAATCCCAGCAGTTTGGGAGGCCGAGGCAGGTGGATCACCTGAGGTCAGGAGTTCGAGACCAGCCTGGCCAACATGGTGAAACCCCATCTCTACTAAAAATACAAAAATTAGCTGAGCATGGTGGCACGCGTCTGTAATACCAGCAATTTGGGAGGCAGAGGCAGGAGAATAGCTTCAACCTGGAGGCAGGGGTTGCAGTGAGCCGAGATCATGCCACTGAACTCCAGCCTGGGCAGCAGAGTAAGACTCTGTCTCAAAAACAACAACAACAACAACAACAACAACAACAGTTATTTACATCAAGGGTCCCCAAACCCTGTTAGGAATGGGGCCACACAGCAGGAGGTGAGTGGTGGGCGAGGGAGTATTACTGCCTGAGCTCCGCCTCCTGTCAGATCAGCAGTGGCATTAGATTCTCATAGGGGCGTGCACCCTATTGTGAACTGTGCATGTGAGGGATCTTGGTTGCACACTCCTTATGAGAATCTAATGCCTGATGATCTGAGGTGGAACAGTTTCATCCTGAAACCATCCCCACCCCACCACCAGTCCATGGAAAAGCTGTCTTCCACGAAATTGGTCCCTGGTGCCAAATAGGTTGGGGACCACTGCTTCACATCACTATTTCATAGTGTTGAACCAGACTTTCAAAATTAGTGAAATGCAGAACGTACAACCACTGGTCCCCTTCCCATGATAGTGGGAAAGACCTGGGTCTAGAGTCTATATTTTTGTACTTATGAGACATGTTAAAGTATAGTTTTCAAGAAGGTAACAATGTGGCTGTCTGGCAAATATGCAATGAAATGTGTCAAAGATTTTACTTAGCTCACCGATTAATGAGGGAACCAGTAAAGATGCAGTGACCAGTTCAAAGAGCATTTGAGAAACAAGAAGATTTCTAGGACAAGCCATGAGTGTGATGGTTAATTTTAGGTGTCAGTTTGACTGGATTAAGGAATATCTAGAAACTTAGTAAAGCATTGTTTCTGGGTGTGTCTGTGAGGATGTTTCCAGAGGAGACTACCATATGAGTCTGAGTGGACTAAGTGGGGAAGATTCCCCTCAATGTGTGTGGGCACGGTCCAACTTGCTGGGGGCCCAGAGAGAACAAGAACAGAAAGGGAGAATGTGTCCATCTGTCTGCCAGAGCTGGGATGCACTTTTCTTCTTCTGTCCTCGGACAACAATTCCAGGCTCCCGGGCCTTTGGACTCTAGGACTTACATCAGCGGCCCCTGGAGTTCTCAGGCCTTTGGCCTCAGATTGAAGTTATACCATCAGTTTCCCTGGTTCCGAGGCTTTCACACTTGGGCTGAACCACACTACTGACATCCCAAGGTCTCCAGCTCGCAGATGGCCTGTGATGGAACTTCTCAGCCTCCATAATTGAGAGCCAATCCCTCTAATAAATCCTTTTTCCTATATCTATATTTATATCTATATCATCTATCTGATCTATATCTATCATGTCCCATTGATTCTGTCTCTCTGGAGAACCCTAAGATAGTGAATTAAATGTTAATGTCCAACAAGCCACAAATCGGGAGTTACAGTCATGCACTGAATAACAACATTTTGATCAATGGCAGACTGTATATATGACAGCAGTTCTGTAAGCTTATAATGGAGCTAAAACATTCCTATTGCCTAGTGACACTGTGGCTATTCTGACGTCATAGCATACTGGATTACTGGTGTGTTTGTGGTGATGCTGGTGTAAACAAACCTGCTGTGCTGCCAGTCATATAAAAGTATAGCAGGCACACTTATGTACAGTCCATAATACTTTATAATGATAATAAAAGACTATGTTACTGGTTTATGTACTTACTCTATTCTTTGTTGTTATTTTAGAGTATACTCCTACTTATTTAAAAAAAAAAAGTTAACTGCAAAATAGCCTCCGGCAGGTCCTTTAGGAGGTGTTCCAGAAGGCATTGTTATCATAGTAGATGACAGCTCCATGCATGTTATTGTCCCTGAACCTTCTAGTGGGACAAGACGTAGAGGTGGAAGACAGTGATATTGATGATCCTGAGTATAAGTAGGCCTAGACTAATGTGTGTGTTTGCATCTTAGTTTTGAACAAAAAAAGTTTAAAAAATAAAAAAAGCTTATAGATTAAGGATATAAAGAAAGGAAATATTTTTGTATCACTGTACAATGTGTTTGTGGGTTTTTTTTTTTTTTTTTTTTGAGACAGAGTCTTGCTCTATCGCCCAAGCTGGAGTACAGAGGCATGATCTCGGCTCACTGCAACCTCCACCTCCTGGGTTCAAGCAATTCTCCTGCCTCAGCCTCCTGAGTAGCTGGGATTACATGTGTGTGCCACCACACCCTGCTAATTTTTGTATTTTTAGTAGAGACGGGTTTCACTATGCTGGCCAGGCTGATCTCGAACTCCTGACTTTGTGATCTGCCCACCTCGGCCTTCCAGAGTGCTGGGATTACAGGTGTGAGCCACTGCACCCGGCCAATGTGTTTGTGTTTTAAGCTAAGTGTTATTACAAAAGAGTCAAAAGTTTTTAAAAATTTTAAAGTTTAAAAAGTAAAAAAGCTACAGTAAGCTAAGATTTATTATTTAAGAAAATGTTTTCCAGTCTGGGCAACATAGTGAGACCCCATCTCTACAAAAATTACAAAAAGTTAGCTGTGTGTGTTGGCTGATGTCGGTGGTCCCCGCTACTTGGGAGGCTGAGGCAAGAGGATTGCTTGAGCCCAGGAAGTCGAGGCTGCAGTAAGCCATGATCACACTACTGCACTCCAGCCTGGGAGACAGAGTGAGACCTCACAAAAAATTAAAAAATGTTTAAAAATAAATGCCCCACCTGAGCAACATGGTGAAACCTCGTCTCTACAAAAAATTTAAAAACTACCCGGGCATGGTGGCGGGTGCCTGTGGTCCCAGCTATTTGGGAGGCTGAGGTGGGAGGATCTCTTGAGCCTAGGGAGGTCAAGGCTGCAGTGAGCTGTGATCGCACCACTGCACTCCAGCCAGGTGAGAGAGCTAGGCCCTGTCTCAAAAATAAAATAAAATAATCCATCCATAAATAAATAATAAATGTAGCATAGCCTAAGTGTCCAGTGGTTATAATCTACAGTAGTGCACCGTAATGTTGCAGGCTTTCACATTCAATCACCACTCAGTGACTCACCCAGGCAACCTCCAGTGCTGCAAGCTCCATTCATAGTAAGTGCCTGATAAACTACAGGGCACTTTTGGGCAGTTGACTTTAAAGTAAATAGGCTTCTAAATTAACAGCCTGAGGGAGGGCTTGTGATTCATGCAAACATCTTGTCCCTGAGTAACGAATCTTATTGTGAGTTCCTCAAATTGTCAAGTACTGATTAATGCACAACCTCCTGACACTGAAGAGGACTCTGACTCACTTTTGAATCAAATGTCGATATTTTAGCCTTTATATTGCAGTCTGTAGCCAATGATTGTAACCTCTGTGTTGTACCTCCAGTGAAAAGGATGGTTGTGCTGTCAGGAGTCCTCCCTTCTTCTAAACTTTCCCATAAAAGCCTTCCAACTTGTAGCAGACTCCAGAACACTCCCAACTTTGTTAGCGTGTCTTCCCAGGTCAACCATACATATAGCCTAGGTGTATGGTAGGCTAGACCACCTAGATTTGTGTAAGTGTGGCAGGCCAATTCTCCCTGACAATCACACAGACAGGCCTGCATAGCACTCCAGTTACACAGATTTCCACAGAGCTGCCTTAACATTGAGCAAATAGTTAAACCTAGCAAAATCGGCACCCAGACAGCAAAGCTAGAAATGAAACGTATGGTCAGTAGGAGCCTTGCGTGGGCTTCTCCCTAACCTGGAGCAAACCAAAATAATACAGTCTTTCATTCCTAGTGCAGGACCCATCTCGGGTCAACGAAATCTGAGACAGTCAAGGTAACAGAGCTGTTTGAGTAAATTCATTGGAGAGTCTAAGGCAGCACTCCAGACCAAGCTGTAAAGGAGATAAGATAGAAATAATCACTCTGGTACCACAGTACACAGGCCTTGAAGGTACTGAGGCCCTTTTAATCAGACTTAGTAAGCATTAGTTTGCCTCTGACCTTCTAGTTGAAACAAAATTAGTTACCAATAGACTTAGGTGAATGCTATACTGCATGTGGGCATATAACCCCAACCTATATAATCATGAAGAAAATTGTAACACTTTGAGTTGGTCTTGTGGAATTATCTCCAGCCTGCTCCCTGTAACTGGTTACAGCAATAAATTCTCTTCTTTCCTAGTTTTTCTGCTTCTTGTTATTGGGCCCTGAGAAAACGTAGCTGGACCCGGCTTGGTTCCGTGAACATAAGTACACTCTGTGATGTTCACACCATTTGGCTTCCAATAAACCGTTTTTTGTTGTTGTTGTTGTTTTTTGGAGACAGATTCTTGCTCTGTTCCCAGTCTGGAGTGCAGTGGCACGATTTCAGCTCACAGCAACCTCTGCCTCCCAGGCTCAAGTGATTTCTCGAGCCTCAGCCTCCTGAGTAGCTGGGATTATAGACACGCACCACCACGCCCAGCCAATTTTTTTTTTTTTTTTTGAGATGGTGTCTCACATCTGTCGCACATGCTGGAGTGCAGTGGCACCATCTCGGCTCCTTGCAACCTCCACCTCCCGGGTTCAAGAGATTCTCCTTCCTTAGCCTCCCGAGTAGTTGTGATTATACGCTGTGCCACCATGCCCAGCTAATTTTTGTATTTTTAGTAGAGACAGGTTTCGCCATCTTGCCCAGGCTGGTCCCGAACTCCTGACCTTGTGATCTGCCTGCCCCGGCCTCCCAAAGTGCTGGGGTTACAGGTGTGAGCCACCGCGCCTGGCCAATTTTTGTATTTTTAAAAGAGACAGGTTTTGCCATTTGGCTAGGCTGGTCTTGAACTCCTGACCTCAAGTGATCTGCCCACCTCTGCCTCTCAAAATGCTGAGATTACAGGTGTGAGCCACCATACTTGGCCCCAATAAACCTTTATCAAATTATTTGTGCCCCAACAGCCTTAATTTTGGTAAACATGTCCTATACAGGTGTACCATTTTTTATCTTTTATACCATATTTTTACCGTACCTACTTATGTTTAGATACACAATTACTTACCATTGTGCTACAATTGCCTACAGTATTTAGCATACTAACACACTGTACAGGTTTGTAACCTAGGAGCAATTTGCTATTCCATATATAGTAGGCTGTATCATCTAGGTTTGTGTAAGCACACTCTATAAGGTTTGCACGAGGACAAAATCACCTCACGCATTTCTCCCTGCTGTTAAGCAATGTGTGACCTGTATCTGTCCCACCAACAGAAGTTATTTGCATTTCTTCCTGACAAAAATCTTCAAGTTAACAAGTAATTTCACGAATTCTGGGACCCTTAATCAATAGTAAATAATGGGATAAACTTTACGTTACTATGATCCTCTGGCTGAATCCAGCCCACATATTTTGTAAATAAAGTTTTGTTGGAGCCCAGCCTATTTCTTCCTTTGCTTATTGTCCATGACTGCTTTTGTGCCACAATGGCAGTCCTGAGTACACACAGCAGAGATTCTAAAGTCCACAGATTTAGACTTGAGTTCTCAACACAGAAATCCTAAAGCTCACAGTAGAGACAGGGTTTCTACCTGACTCAGAGCCTGAGAAATTTACTATGACTTAGAGCCTGAGAAATTTACTATGTGAACCTTTACATGCTGGGGAAAGCCTGAGGGTCATGACCAACTCAGCACTCCACTGGAGGCTATATGATAAAAGAGCAAACTGTTTATCACGAATGCAGGATGTGGGGAAACTCACATCTGCACCTGCCACCAGAAGGTATGCTGAGGGCAATCACTCCCTGGCGCCGTGCTCCTTGAGGTTATCTACTGGAACATCTGGAGCCTACTGTTCAAAGAAAGCAGTTATGCAGGCCTGCACTAAGTGAAACAGCTGACTGACAACCACCCCCTCCTCATTATTTCCTTTACTCAATAAATACAAAGGGCTATAGAAGCTCAGAGCCCTTGTTCACTAGAAGCAAGGAGACCCCTGACCCCTTCTTCCAAATATACTTGTTTGTCTTTGTCTTTATTCCCGCATTCGTCCTCCTTTGTTCAGTCCACCAGGGTCCGTGGCACAGTGGAGCCTGAGGGTTGTGACCAACTTTTACAAATAAAGTTCGTTGGCCCTCACTCTAGACAACCCTATGATGATCTTTGCCACTGCATGAAAGTGAAATTGTCAGAAGCATGTGAACCAGAGCAACTCCATCTTGAATAGGGGCTGGGTAAAATGAGGCTGAGACCTACTGAGCTGCATTCCCAGATGGTTAAGGCATTCTAAGTCACAGGATGAGGTAGGAGGTTGGCACAAAATACAGGTCTTAAAGACCTTGCTGATAAAACAGACTGCAGTAAAGATGCCAGCTAAAACCCAACAAAACCAAGATGGCAACAAGAGTGTCCTCTGATTGTCCTCTCTGCTACACTCCGTCCAGTGCCATGACAGTTTACAAATGCCATGGCAACGTCAGGAAGTTACCCTATGTGGTCTAAAAAGGGGAAACATGAATAATCCACCCCTTGTTTAGCATATCATCAATAAATAACTATAAAAATGGGCAACCAGCAGCCCTCGGGGCTGCTCCGTTCATGAAGTAGCCATTCTTTTATTCCTTTACTTTCCTAATAAACTTGCTTTCACCGTACTCTACTGACTTGCCCTGAATTCTTTCTTATGCAAGATCCAAGAACCCTCTCTTGGGATCTGGATCAGGACTCCTTTCCTGTAACAAAAGGATGTGCTATTTAGCTTTTTGCCTTATTTCCAAGTTTTGCATACTTTTTCTGACCAACACTTGAGAACCTTTAATATATAGTTTTTCTGTTTCCATTGTCTTCAGTTCCAATTGTCTTTTGGTTCCAATTCTCTAAGTTTTAATTCAACCAGTGTTTACTGAACACATACTATGTACCAGAAGCTACTGCAATGAATGGAACCTAGCCCTCACCTTCACATTTTGTGAGGAAATCAAATGTGTGACTGTGAAGGGTTCTTCTTTTAGATAACTCTTTTTTTTTTTTTTTTTTTGAGACAGAGTCTCACTCTGTCGCCCAGGCTGGAGTGCAGTGGCACGATCTCAGCTCACTGCAAGCTCCATCTCCCGGGTTCACACCATTCTCCTGCCTCAGCCTCCTGAGTAGCTGGGATTACAGGCGCCTGCTACCATGCCCAGCTAATTTTTTGTATTTTTAATAGAGACGGGGTTTCACCGTGTTAGCCAGGATGGTCTGGATCTCCTGACCTCGTGATCTGCCCTCCTTGGCCTCCCAAAGTGCTGGGATTACAGGCGTGAGCCACCGTGCCTGGCCAAGAGGAGAACTGTAAGTCCAATCTAAGGAAGATATCCTAGATATGCGAAGATTGAAGGCAGGGGAGAAAGAGAAATAAGACATGTTAATAGTTGCTAGAGGGAAACATGTGAATTTGTTTTGGGGACTCTTTGGTTTTAAGAAAATCACTTTGGCCAGACACGGTGGCTCACACCTGTAATCCCAGCACTTTGGGAGGCTGAGGTGGGCGGATCATGAGGTCAGGAGCTTGAGACCAGCCTGACCAACATGGTGAAACCCTGTCTCTACTAAAAATACAAAAAAATTAGCCGAGCATGGTGGTGTGTCCCTGTAATCCCAGCTACTCAGGAGGCTAATGCAGGAGAATCACTTGAACCTGGGAGGCAGAGGTTGTAGTGGGCCGAGATGGTGCCATTGCACTCCAGTCTGGGTGACAGAGGGAGACTCCTTCTCAAAAAAAAAAAAAAAAGAAAGAAAGAAAGAAAGAAAAGAAAATCACTTCAATAGGCCTTTTGATTGTGAAAAAGTGAAGGCAAAGTCCTATTTTAAAAAGGAGACATTTGAAGTGAGGACCCAGCTCTGATTTTTTTTTTTTTGCCCAAATTCCTGTCTAAGAGATCTGGGGAGTCATGCCCTACAAACTATAAATTCTCATCAGATGGGTTTTATTTAACCTTATATATCGTGTTTTACTTTCCAATCTGACTCAGGCATAACATTACGTGACAAAGAAGAAAATCAAAATATTTTATCCCAAAACATGTTTCTTTGCCATATTTTGAAATGGCCCTGCAAGCCATCCTTTGTGGGGGAAATTTTGCATGTGTAAAGAATCTCTGTTAACATAGCTAGATCTTTTCCTTCCAGGCCCTCTCAATCCTGAAGAAATTAACTAAGAGTCTAGCACCTTTTAAAGGTCTGAATAGGAAATATTTGCCATCTATTGTCTCTAAGGGCAGCCACTGTGAAACTTCAAAAGAACCTCGATCTCCATAATCTTTTTTCTTAACCCGAATATTTCCTTGCTATTAATCCCAGGTCTTTTTAAATTTTTATTTATTATTTATTTATTTTTTTTTGAGATGGAGTCTCACTCTGTTGCTCAGGCTGGAGTGCACTGGCGTGATCCTGGCTCACTGCAACCTCTGCCCCCTCGAGTTTGAGTGATTCTCCTGCCTCAGCATCTCGAGTAGTTGGTATTACAGGCACCTGCCCTGTGCCTAGCTAATTTTTGTATTTTTAGTAGAGACAGGGTTTCACCATCTTGGCCAGGATGGTCTTGAACTCCTGACCTTGTGATCCACCCGCCTTGGCCTCCCAAAGTGCTGGAATTACAGGCGTGAGCCACCGCGCCCGGCCAATCCCAGGTCTTTAGACAAACTCAACCAATTGTAAACCAGAAAATGTTTAAATTTACCTATAGCCTGGAAGCCCCCTACCCCAACCTTGCTTTGAATTGTCCCACCTTTCTGGACGAAACCAATCTGTTTCTCAAATGTATGTGATTGATGTCTCATGCCCTCCCTAAAATGTATAAACCCAAGCTGCACCCCAACCAACCTCCTTGGGCACATGTTCTCAGGACCTCCTGAAGGCTGTGTCACAGACCATGGTCACTCATATTTGGCTCAAAATAAATCTCTTAGAATATTTTACAGAGTTTGACTCTTTTCGTTGACACAAGCAATAGGAAGGTAAACTGTTCTGCTCAGGATCATAAAACCTTGTCTTTTTTTTTTTTTTTGGAGACGGAGTCTTGCTCTGTCACCCAGGCTGGAGTGCTATGGCATGATCTCGGCTCACTGCAATCTCCGCCTCCCGGTTTCAAGTGATTCTCCTGCTTCAGCCTACTGAGTAGCTGGGATTACAGGTGTGCACCACCACACCCAGCTAATTTTTGTGTTTTTAGTAGAGACGGGGTTTCACCATGTTGGCCAGGCTGGTCTCAAATTCCTGACCTCAGGCAATCTGCCCACCTTGGCCTCCCAAAGTGTTGGGATTACAGGCGTGAGCCACCATGCCTGGCCAAAACCTTGTCTTTTTATTGTGCCTTGTTTCAGTAATAAATATGTTGTAAGACACTTTTCACTATACAACTACTTATACACACAATATACAAAAATCAACAAAATGCTTCAGTCGAAGCACACAGGAGTGGTAAAAGTAAAATAATTTATATTAAAAATAATATATACAGTCGGCACACCATGTGGATTCAATCAACTGTGGATGAAAAATATTTGAAAAAACAATAGAACAATAAAAATGATACAAATAAACAATACAGCATAACAACTATTTACATAGCATTTTCATTGAATTAGGTGTTATCAGTAATCTAGAGATGATTTAAAGCAGGAGTGTCCAATCTTTCGGCTTCCCTGGGCCCCATTGGAAGAAAAATAATTGTCTTGGGTCACACATAAAATATACTAACACTAACGATAGCTGATAAGCTAAATATACATATATATAGCAAAAAATTCATAATGTTTTAAGACAGTTTACGAATTTGTGTTGGGCCACATTCAAAGCTGTCTTGGGCCGCGGGTTGAACAAGCTTGATTTTTTTTTATTTTTTACTTTGTATTTATTTATTTTTTTGAGACGGAGTCTCGCTCTGTCGCCCAGGCTGGAGTGCAGTGGCGCCATCTCGGCTCACTGCAAGCTCCTCCTCCCGGGTTCACGCCATTCTCCTCCCTCAGCCTCCCCAGTAGCTGGGACTACAGGCGCCTGCCACCACGCTCAGCTAATTTTTTTTTGTATTTTTAGTAGAGACGGAGTTTCACCGTGGTCTCGATCTCCTGACCTTGTGATACGACCGCCTCGGCCTCCCAAAGTGCTGGGATTACAGGCGTGAGCCACCGTGCCCGGCCGGAGAAGCTTGATTTAAAGGACAGAGGAAGATGTGTGTAAGTCATATACAAATACTGTACCATTTTATATAAGGAACTTGAGCATTTACAAGTTTTTGGTATCCTTAGGGGCCCTGGAACACCCTGTTTGATGCTGAGAGATGACTGTAGTTAACAGTCGCATTACTTGGATATGATAACATCAGAAGGCATAATGAATAGTGAGATGCTTGGGCCTCTATGTTGAGGACGAAGCTCTGATTTTTTTTTTTTCCCCAAATTCTTATGTAAGGAGTCTGGGGAGTCATGCCCCACAAATCATCAGTTCTCATCAGATGGGTTTTATTTAATCCTGTATATTGAGACTTACTTTCCAATCTGACTCTGGCCATGGCAAGGAAGAAAATAAAAATATTTTACCTCAAAACATGTTTCTCTGTCATATCTTGAAATGGCCCTGCAGAGCCATCTCTTGTGGGAAAAATCCACATTCCGTAGAGAATCCCCTTTTCCCCTTTTTTGTCCTTCCTTCCTTTCCAGATCCAGGAGATAATCAACTAAGAGCCAAGCACCCTTTTAGTTCCGATAAGAAACATTTTGCAACCTGCTCTCTCTGAAGTCTGCTATCTGAGATCTTCCTCTGCACAATAAAACTTGGTACCCACAATCCTTTATCTTAACCTGAACATTTCCTTTCTATTGATCCCAGGCCTTCAGATAAACTCAACCAATTGTCAACCAGAAAATGTTTAAATTTACCTATGAAGCCCCCCCGCGCTTTTTGTCCTGCCTTTTGGAACCAAACCAATGTTATTTCTTAAATGTATTTGATTGATGTCTCATGTCTCCCTAAAATGTATAAACCCAAGCTGTGCCCCAACCACCTTGGGCACATGTTCTCAGGACCTCCTGAAGGCTGCGTCACCGGCCATAGTCACTCGTATTTGGCTCAGAATAAATCTCTTAAAATGTTTTACCGGCCAGGCATGGTGGCTCACGCCTGTAATCCCAGCACTTTGGGAGGCTGAGGCGGGTGGATCACGAGGTCAGGAGATCGCGACCATCCTGGCTAACATGGTAAAACCCTGTCTCTACTAAAAATACAAAAAATTAGCCGGGTGCGGTGGTGGGCGCCTGTAGTCCCAGCTACTCGGGAGGCTGAGTCAGGAGAATGGCGTGAACCCGGGAGGCGGAGTTTGCAGTGAGCCGAGATCGTGCCACTGCACTCCAGCCTGGGCGACAGAGCAAGACTCCTCTCAAAAAAAAAAAATGTTTTACAGAGTTTGACTCTTTTAGTCAACACCGTTAAATACTGAAAAAGGGATGGATATAGAAACAGTTATGGTGTATCACTGACTAAAATACCAAAATTAGGCTTTCCTTCAGAGACATGATTTTCCAAAATGGTGAGTAAATAAAATCCTGAGCCAAGAAAAGTACAGTATTTCCTAGATTTGCAAATCTACAGTGATTGAATTCCTGGAAAATTCAGTGTCTAGTAAAACTATGCAAAAATATTTTGTTAACATGTAAAAGTTAGGCCGGGCGCGGTGGCTCATGCCTGTAATCCCAGCACTTTGGGAGGCCGAGGCGGGTGGATCATGAGGTCAGGAGTTCAAGACCAGCCTGGCCAAGATGGTGAAACCCCGTCTCTACTAAAAATATAAAAATTAGCCGGACATGGTGGCGGGTGCCTGTAGTCCCAGCTCCTCGGGAAGCTGAGGCAGAGAATTGCTTGAACCCGGGAGGTGGAGGTTGCAGTGAGCCGAGATCGCGCCATTACACTCCTGCCTGGGCAACAGAGCAAGACTCCGTCTCAAAAAAAAAAAAAAAAAAAAAAAAAAAGAAGTAAAAGTTAGGTTTAAGCTCAGATAATTATAAACAGGTTTTTAACCTTCATAAATGGGTGGAGGGACACTAAAAGTTTATCTGGGCTGGGGAACAATTTTGCTTTTGGAGGCTGTTCTACACATTGTTTACTGTCGCTGGCCTCAGCCGGGCCCATGCAAACATGCAAATCCCGCCAGCCCTCTAAATCGTTGGTACAGACTTCAAAAAATTTCCAAATTGCCCTCTAGAGGGCAGTACTAGCACTGTAGAGAGTCACTGAACCAAAAAGCTCTGCTGTGGACTAAACCTGCCTTGCTTCTTGGGGCGGGGTAGGGCAGCATTATTCTGTGGTCTGGGCTGCCTGGGGTTGGGGATAAGTGGTAGGGGCAAAGACATTATTTTCCTCTCACCAGCCCCTTCGGGAAGGCTGGAATGCTGGAGATTTTACAAACACGAATCGCTGACACCTTTTTTGTGTATTTTAAATCTTCTAATCAATTTGGGATAGAAAACTGGAGTCAAAAACTCTTCCCTACAAAAATAATGCAATATTTCTATCTATCTATCATCTATCTATCTATCTATCTATCTATCATCTATCTATCTATCATCTATCATCTATCTATGTCTATATATATCAGTATGTGTGTATATATATGTATATACATGGCTGTATATTTTATGTATTCCTACACAATTATGATGTCATGGTTTGTACTGTAGAAAAAGTGGGGGCAATCTAAATGTCCATGAACAGGAGAGTAGATTTTTTATTTATTATTTATTATTATTTTTGAGACAGAAAAATATGTCACCTAGGCTGGAGTGCAGTTGCGTGATCTCGGCTCGCTGCAACCTCTGCCTCCCAAGTTCAAGCAATTCTCTTGCCTCAGCCTCCCAAGTAGCTGGGATTACACACTGGGCTAATTTTTGTATTTTTTGTAGAGACAAGGTTTCACCATGTTGCCCAGACTGGTCTCAAGCTCCTGGCCTCAAGTGATCTGCCTGCCTTGGCCTCCCAAAATACTGAGATTACAGGTGTGAGCCACTGCTTCCGGTTAATCTTCAACTATATATATATATATATATATATATATATATATATATATATATATATATATATACACATACATATATATATATATACATATACATATATTTATTTATTGAGATGGAGTCTTGCTCTTGTCGCCCAGGCTGGAGTGCAGTGGTGCCGTCTTGGCTCACTGCAACCTCCTCCTCCCAGGTTCAAGCGATTCTCTTGCCTCAGCCTCCTGTGTAGCTGGGATTACAGGCGCCTGCCACCACATCTGGCTAATTTTTGTATTTTTAGTAGAGACAGGGTTTCAGCATGTTGGCCAGGCTGGTCTTGAATTCCTGATCTCAGGTGATCCACCCGCCTCAGCCTCCCAAAGTGCTGGGATTACAAGTGTGAGCCACGGAGCCTGGCCAATAATATATATTTTAAAAATAACTATATTTTCCAAAAATAAAACATATGAGTAGAATGCCCTTGTTTTACATTTTTGCAAATCTCGTTAATATCTGACCTACTAGAAGACAGATTATCTAATCAGTTCTGTATTCAATATGTTGTGATATTATGTAGGTTCTAGAAAATTCCACTTTACACTCATGAGAGAATGGAAGTTAAAAAGCTAAATATAATAATTATTATAAAACTAATTTGACCTTGGAGGCCTCTTGAAAGCATAGGGCCCTCCCCACCAAGGACCACGGGGCACCACTTTGAGAGTCTTTGCTCTCAAATCAATTAGGACCCAGACTCTATGAAGTTAAATGTTAAACAGATTGATAGTTTTTTGTGTGTGTGTGAGACAGAGTCTCACTCTGTTGCCCAGACTGGAGTGCAGTGGTGTGATCTCGGCTCACTGCAACCTCCACCCACCGGGTTCAAGTGATTCTCCTGCCTCAGCCTCCCGAATAGCTGGGATTACAGGTGCCTGCCACCATGCCTGGCTAATTTTTGTACTTTTAGTAGAGGTGGGATTTCAACATGTTGGTCAGGCTGGTCTCAAATTCCTGACGTCAGGTGATCCACCCACCTCTGCCTCCCAAAGTGCTGGGATTACAGGCAGCAGCCACCTCGCCCAGCCGATAGTTTGTAATGATATTTTTTAAAGATGTAAATGATTTCTGTCCAATTGGAACTCCAAAGGTAACAGTTTTCTCCTTTCCTTTCCTTCCTTCTTCTTTTCTCTTTTTCTTTCTTTCTTTCTTCCTTTCTTTTTTTTTTTTTTTGGCAGGGTCTCACTCTGTCAAACAGGCAGGAGTGTAGTGGTGAGATTTCTGGTCACTGCAACCTCCATCCACCTCCTGGGTTCAAGCAGTTCTCCCACCTCAGCCTCCTGAGTGAGTAGCTGGGACTACAGGCACTCACCACCATGCTTGGCTAATTTTTGTTATTTTTTGTAGAGATGTGGTTTTACCATGTTGCCAAGGCAGGTCTTGAACTCCTGGGCTGCAGCATCTGCCCTCCTTGGCCCCACAAAATGCTAGGATTACAGGCGTGAGCCACTGCACCCAGTTTTCATTTTCATTTTAAGCTAAATTTAACCAGTCTTATATCTGATTTAGCAAACATGCTGGTGTTCTGTTTTTCCCCCAGTGGTGATACATATGTGGTTCCTCAAATTCTCCTTAGAACCAATTTTTCCATCCAGCTGGTCCCCCTCATTGATGAGTTAAATAAACCTTTAAGCTACATTCACGTTTGACAGTTTATCTGATATTTATGTAAGACTCATGTTTTGAAGTATTTGAATGCTGTATTTTGTTTCTCAATTTTTTATCTTGAAAAAAAATTCAAGCCTTTAGAATAATTGAAAGAATACTGCAGTGAACACCTTTATGCCATTTTTCCTAGATTCAATCACTGAATTTTTGCCATGTTTACTTTAATTCCACGCCCCCACCTCCACCATCCGTTTATCTATTGTAAGGGTAGATTTCAAAAATGAGTTTCCCATTTGCCAAGAAGGAAGGAAATCTTTCCCTCCTCCCCTTCTTAGAGCATTTCTGTCAGAAAACCTTGTGGCTGTAAAGCCTTTTTCTAGCCTTTTAAAATAAAAATATTTCACTTTAGATGCTAAGTGCAAGGGCATTATCCTACATAGCCAAATAAACTGATCTCACACAGAGAATTTATAACTGTACAAGGTATTCTATTTTCTAATACATTGTCTGCATTCTAATTTCCTCATTAGTTCCAACAATTTGCTTTATAGCTTTTCTTTTTTTTATTTTTTGCTTCAAAATCCAATAAAAAATTGCACATTGGCTGGGTGCAGGGGCTTACACCTGTAATCCTAGCACTTTGGTAGGCCGAGGCAAGAGTATCCCTTGAGCCCAGGAGTTTGAGACCAGCTTGGGCAACATAGTGAGACTCTGTCTCTACCAAAAACACACACACACACACACACACACACACACAAAACAGGCGTGGTGGCGTGCACTTATGGTCCCAGCTACACAGGAGGCTAAGGCAGGAGGATGTCTTGAGCCCCAGGGTTAGCTGCAGTGAACTATGATAACACTATTGCACTCCAGTCTGGGCAACAGAGTGAGACCCTGTCTTAATAGAGCGCATTCATTTCTTAGGAATTTGAACCTTCCACTGGCTAGGTAACAGCTTATATTTTTAACCATTCTTCACTAAGAGTTAATGCTTCTTTTCTGTATATAAGAAAGAAATGGTAGGTAGTGTGATGTACTAGATGCAAATCTTTGTACTTGCAAATTACTCAATTTTACTAAGCTTCAGTAAATTGATTAGGATGCTTCTGGTTGCCGGTAACAGAAAATCCAAATTAAAAATGACCGAAACAATTACATTTGATATCTCACATAAAAGGCTGGGCACAGTGGCTCACACCTGTAATCCCAGCACTTGGGAGACCAAGGTGAGAGAATCACTTGAGCCCAGCAATTCAAGACTAGTCTGGGCAACATAGTGAAACCCTGTCTCTACAAACAAAAAAAGGAAGAAGACAAAGGAGAAAGAGTAGAAGGAGAAGGAGAAGAAGAAGGAGAGGGAAGAAGGAGGAAGAGAAGGAGGAGGAAGGAAGTGGCTCTTGCCTGTAATCCCAGAACTTTTGGGATGCTGAAGTGGGTGGATACCTTGAGCCCAGGAGTTTGAGACCAGCCTGGACAACATGGCAAAAAACCATTTCTACAAAAAATACAAAAATTAGCCAGGCATGGTGACATGTGCCTGTAGACCCAGCTACTTAGGAGGCTGAGGTGGGAGGATCACCTGAGCCTGGGTGGTGGAGGCTGCAATGAGTGAAGATTGTACCACTGCACTCTAGCCTGGGCCACAGAGCGAGACCCTGTCTGAGAAAAAAAAAAAAAAAGTCTTAGTTGTAGGCAGAGATTGCCAGAAACTAGATTTTTCCAGCCTGTGTTGCCTCAGCCATGTGACCCAGGTCTGGCAACGTTCTTGTCTTTCTTTTGACTTTGGAGCCAGTGACAGAAGAAATAGGGATAATAAACTTCCTCTCTGGCACCTGCTGGCTAGAGAGCGTGGTTCTCTAGGCTTCCAAACAATTCTCTGAGAAACCCAGTATCTGTTGAGTTAACTTTTTTTTTCATCTTAGATCAGCTGGAGTTGACTACTGTGGCTTGCACATGGAAGCTGGGAGAACAGAAACTCTCATGTGGAAGAGCCAAGATGTCCTTGGAGCCATTACCAGCCTCTTGCTGAGCATTCTTTCCTACTATATTCAGCCGGGAGTTTCTCCAATGGTCCTACCTCCTGTGTACTCTGTCCCTAGGCATCCCTCAAATGGAGATCATCCTGCCCCAGAAAAGTCTCTGAGAACGGAGTCAACGGTAGACAGCAGGAAAGAGTGAGTGGAGATGCCGGCTCCACTGTGCCAAGTGAAAATAACTTGGTGAGCACTGAGGGCACTCTAAGCACGGGCCAGTCAGTATCAAACACTGTTCTGATCCTAGCAACAGTATGAGGCAGAAACCTAAGTTACAGAACTTGATTTACAGACCAGGAAATGAAGGTTTATAAAGTTTGAAGAAGTAAGACTGGGATTTCAATACAGATTGTATGTTTCTGGAACCTATTGACTTTATTTGTGAGTTTTTGTTTGTTTGTTTGTTTGTTTTGCCCTTCTTTCTTTATTTAATTAAAACATCTGCTGATGGCAAGAATGACCCATGTGCCTAACAAAAATGCAAATGGTTAACATGCAGAGTGGAAATTCTATCTTTGATAAATGTCTGTTGGAACCTATTGACTTTAATTTCAAACTCTACAGTCTCCCGGAGGGGATGATAGAATACTCATAGAGTCTATGGGGATTTTTATCAGGCTGATGTGAAGGGAGAAATCATATGTATGGGCATGATGGTGTGCGCTACTCAGCCTTCTGAGTAATTCCAGCTACTCAGGAGGCTGAGGAGCCAGGATCCCTTAAGCCCAGGAGTTTGAGTCCAGCCTGGGCAGCATAGTGAGACCCTCTTTCAAAAAACAGCAAAAAAGGGCTGGGGGTGGTGTCTCATGCCTGTAATCCCAACACTTTGGGAGGCAGAGGTGGGTGGATCACTTGAGGTCAGGAGTTCAAGACCAGCCTGGCCAACATGGTGAAACCCCGTCTCTACTAAAGAGGCAAAAATTAGCTGGGTATGGTGGCGTATGCCTGTAATAATCCTATCTATTTGGGAGGCTGAGGCAGGAGAATTGCTTGAACCCTGGAGGTGGAGGTTGCAGTGAGCAGAGCTTCCGCCACCACACTCCACCCTGGGTGACAGAGTGAGACTCCGTCTCAAAAAAACAAACAAGCAAACAGTGGAAAAGGGCTGTGGTGAGTTGACTTGCTATGCTCTATACTGAGGGGTCAAAATATGGGCATATGGCTGCCTGATGCCTGAGTCTTTCAGGCACAGCTGGGATAAGATTTTGACATATGCAAAAAGCAAAGTCTTTGAATAAACTAATTTCCATGGCTTGAATTTGTTACAATCTATCTCAATCTTGTCTACTGATATTTGAAGAACCAAATGAGTGTACATTGGGGCTCCTCATGTGCACACTGGTTTGAAGAGAGATGCTTGTACGTATCACCACAGCCTTCTCAGGGAGGAGTGCTGGGCAAGTTACAAAGACACAAGTGAAGGAAATACGGAAATGGTAGAAGGAAACCAACATAGGCATATGAAGCAGGATTAAGCATTAGAAAATGACGAGTCTGGCTCTTCTGAGAAGCAGACAGCAAGATGGGATTACACTTGAAGTATTTTACTGGGGGAAACACTAGAGTGAAAGGAAACAAGGAGGAAGCCGGGAAAGGCTGAGAGAGCAGTCACAGTGATCAGCCTCATCAGACCCATGCAAGGCTGACCCAGAGTGAAGGAGAGGGAGAAAGAAGGTTGAATGGCAGCATCTCAGTCAGCCTGCGGCCTGAGGATGTAGCAGCAAAGACTTGGAGGAGTTCCTGAGCCAAAATTAACAATATTCTTTTGATATCATCCAATACCCATATTCAAAATTTTTTTTTTTGAGACGGAGTTTTGCTCTTGTTACCCAGGCTGGAGTGCAATGGCGTGATCTCAGCTCACTGCAACCTCTGCCTCCTGGGTTCAAGCTATTCTCCTGGCTCAGTCTCCCGAGTAGCTGGGATTACAGGCACCCACCACCACGCCCAGCTAATTTTTTGTATTTTTAGTAGAGACGGTTTTCACCGTCTTGGGCAGGTTGGTCTTGAACTCCTGACCTCAGGAGATCCGCCCGCCTTGGCCTCCCAAAGTGCTGGGATTACAGGCATGAGCCACCGCGCCTGGACCCATATTCAGATTTCTTTTTTTTTTTTTTTTTGAGACGGAGTCTCACTCTGTCACCCAGGCTGGAGTGCAGTGGCGGGATCTCAGCTCACTGCAAGCTCTGCCTCCTGGGTTCACGCCATTCTCCTGTCTCAGCCTCCCGAGTAGCTGGGACTACAGGCGCCTGCCACCACTTCCGGCTAATTTTTTTTGTATTTTTAGTAGAGACAGGGTTTCACCTTGTTAGCCAGGATGGCCTCAATCTCCTGACCTCGTGATCCACCCGCCTCAGCCTCCCAAAGTGCTGGGATTACAGATGTGAGCCACCGCACCCGGCCTCATATTCAGATTTCTAAAATGAGTCCTTACTTAAATTTTTCTAAATGTCTAAAATTATATTTATGCTATTGGATTGTTTGAATCAGGGTACGAAGAAAACCAAGAAAAAAGGTCCACTCATTGCATATGTTTTTTGTCTTTTAAATATTTTGTTATGTTTTGTTTTTGGAGGAAGGGTCTCACACTGGCAGCCAGGCTGGAGTGCTGTGCCTCAGTCACAGCTCACTGCAGCCTTGAACTCCCAGGCTCAAGCGATCCTTCTGCCTCAGCCTCCTGCATAGCTGGGACTACAGGTGCACAGCACCATGCCTAGCTAATTAAAAAATTTTGTAGGCCGGGCGCAGCGGCTCATGCCTGTAATCCCAGCACTTTGGGAGGCCAAGGAGGGTGGATCACGAGGTCAGAAGTTCAAGACCAGCTTGGTCAACATGGTGAAATCCCGTCTGTACTAAAAATACAAAAATTAGCCAGGCCTGGTGGTGCAAGCCTGTAATCCCAGTTACCTGGGAGGCTGAGGCAGGAAAATCACTTGAACCTGGGAGGCGGAGGTTGCAGTGAGCTGAGATCACGCCATTGCACTCCAGCCTGGGCAGCAGAGTGAGACTACATTTCAAAAAAAAAAAATTGTAAAGACAGCCCAAAAATACAAAAAAAATTAGCCAGGCATGGTGGTGCATGCCTGTAGTCCCAGCTGCTTGGGAGGCTGAGGTGGGAGAATTGCTTGAATCCAGGAGGTGGAGGTTGCAGTGACCAAAGATTGTGCCACCGTACTCCTGCCTGGGTGACAGAGGTAAATTTTGTCTCAAATAAAAAAAATCTGTAGACACAGGATCTTGCTATGTTGCCCGGTGCCCAGGCTTGTCTCAAACTCCTGGCATCAAGAATCCTCCTGCCTTGGCCTTTCAAAGTGCTGGCTTTACAGGCCTGAGCCACTGTCTGGCCTCTTGAGTGGGAGGATCACTTGAGCCCAGGAGTTGGAAACCAGCCTGGGCAACATAGTGAGATCTTGTCTCTACAAAAAATTTAAAAAATAGCTGGTTGTTGTGGCGCATGCCTGCGGTCCCAGCTACTCAGATGGCTGAGGCAGGAGGATCGCTTGAACCCAAGAGTTTGAGGCTGCAGTGAGCTATGATTGTACCAGTGCACTTCAGCCTGGACAACAGAGTGAGACCTTGTCTGTGAAAAAAACATCATGTTGGAGAAACAAGAAATTAAGACCCAAGGGAAAATGCCAATTCATAAGTATAGAATTAGCTAATTTAATTGTTAAGCAAAAAAAAAAAAAAAGTATTTAAATTCATGTATTCAGATAGCTTATAAGTGATTACAAAGCTATGATGTATTTTCAGCTCTATTTAATCTGGAGTTAAAGCTCCAATTGTTATACATCATCCTACAGTGAACAGTCAGTATTGATTCAATAAAGTTTACTTTGATGTTCTGTTTTTATATTTCTTTCATCAGTACTCCCTACAGTTGTCTCTAACAGAACATCTGTGAAAAGAAAAGAAAATTTCAGATTTATTATGCCAAGGGGAAAAATTAAGTCCCGGAAACTGACTCACATAATATGGCTGTTTTTCTTGTCTGGTGCACAACCATTGCTTCCTGACCTTTGTGTTGAGATGTTATACATTAACCAGACTCCTATGCTTTATTCAAACCTAGATTAAATCTTGTTGGAGATAGAGACTCTTTATCTACCTCTTTATATGAAATGTTAAGCAACCACTTAGAGCGTAATCGATCATAACCAATCAGGTCTTGTAACTGTTTGTTAGTCTTGTGTGGAAAATGTAATTCTGTTCAGCATTCTTGTTTTTTCCTATATAAATGACCCCTACCTTTCTCTACACTGGGGAGCACTCATCGCCATTCTTTGGTATCCCTGTTTTCCCATACAGCCACCCTCACACTTTGCACTTGAATAAGCTATTTTTAAAATTATTTTTATAGATTCAGGGAGTACAAGTGCAGTTTTGTTACATGGATATATTTTCACAGCAGCTTTTAGTGTAGCCATCACCCAAATACTACATTGTACCCATTAAGTAATTTCTCATCCCTCTACATCCTCCCACCCTTCTTGTTTTTTTTGTTTGTTTGTTTGTTTTGCTTTGTTTTGTTTTGCTTTGCTTTGTTTTGTTTTGTTTTGAGACAGAGTCTTTCTCTGTCGCCCATCCTGGGTTCAAGCGATTCTCATGGCTCAGCCTCCTGGGGTTTTACCCTGATGGTCCAGCTGGTCTCAAACTCCTGACCTCAAGTGATCTGTCCGCCTTGGCCTCCCAGAGTGTTGGGATTACAGGCCTGAGCCACTGCACCCAGCCCCGCCACCCTTCTGAGTCCCCATTGTTTATCACTTCACTCTCTATGTCCATGTGGACACAGTATTTAGCTCCCACTTATAAGTGAGAATGTGCCGTATTTAGCTTTCTGTTTCTGAGTTATTGCACTTAAATTAATGGTCTCCAGTTCTATCCATGTTGTTGCAAAAGACATGATTTTATTCTTTTTTATGGCTGAATAGTGTAATAAACTCTTTTAACTGGATCCTGAGCCTTTTGGTTATTTTAGGTTGACAATCTATGTGACAGTAAATTTGGTCAGTCCCTTTATTCAACATCCTCAGTAAGGTTAGATTATGTTGAGTTTCTACAGATTCTATTAGAGCCCACACTTTTTTTTTTAATGCCATTGACTTGATTACAAAGACAGGTTAGTTGTCCTGCATGATGTCCTAAATTCTGACTTTGACTAAATATTTCCTCCTAGTGTTACCTAACTTTTTCCTCTATCTTCTATTTTTCTTGTAGACTACAGGCTTGAATAGATTCAGGTTTAAGGTTTTGCTTTGTATTGCTTAGTTTATGACTACTTCATAGGTGGTGCTGTATGCTTCCTATTGCCTCATATTCAAAAGCATGCAATAGCTGGTTGTTTCACTTACAGTGGCTGCTAAGATGGATCAGCGAGTTCAAGTGGTGGCATCAACCTTTTTACCTAATGATTTTGTCATCTATTGATAACCAGTATTTAAGTCATTTTATTAGGAGCTACAAAATGTTGACTTTCTAATACTACATTTATTATCTGTAATTATTCTATATAGAACTCTTATCTAGTAGGGTTATTTGATTTCCAGGAAATACTGTTCATACTGGAAAGGTGATATAAAATCTCGGTTCTTTCCCCTTAATTATCAGTTTTTGGAGTAATGAGTTGGTGCACAGCAACCTTTGCTCGATTCATTCACTATGGCGTGTTTGTTCTTTCCTCTTTAAAAAAATTATGACTTTTTATTATTTATATATTTGTTTATCTACTTGAGACAGGGTCTCACTCTGTCACCCAGGCTGGAGTGCAGTGGTGCGAACACAACTCACTGTAGCCTCAATCTCCTGGGCTTAAGCAATCTTCTCACCTCAGCCCCCAGAGTAATATTTTTATTTATTTTAATCAATTGAAATAATAATTCTTCTTGATGTTCAAATCATCTTATCTTTGACCAAAAGGACCCTCTTCAAGCTGGCTTATGGAATTTTTTGTTATTTGATGTGTCCCATCATTAGCCTTTGATAATGTTTTTACTTTCTGGGGCAACAAGCTGTTCCAAGCTTATTTTTCTTCCTTTTCTTTTTTTTTTTCCAATTTTATTTTGTACTTTTTCCGCCCTGGACCTGGTTTAGGTGTGGTGCTTTTAATGAAAAATGGTATGAATTTCAGCTATTCTAATTGTGGATAGTGATATTTCATTGTGGTTTTAATTTGCGTTTCTCTGATGACTAATGATTTTGAGCATCTTTCCATGTGCTGATTGATCATTCATATATCTTCTTTGGTAAAAGCATCTATTCACTGGGAGGCGGAGGTTGCCATGAGCCGAGATACACCACTGCACTCCAGCCTAGGGGACACAGCAAGACTCTGTCTCAAAAAAAAAATAAAAAGTGTCTGTTCAAATCTTTCACTCATTTTAAGAAAATGGGTTGTCATTTTTTTCCTATGGAACAGAATTTATTGGATAGTAGCATTTTAGGAAAAATATAAGCTCTACTATATATATATATAAATCTATATAGATAGATAGATAGATAGATACAATCAACTGTAAAGTCCATCTCAACTTCAGAAAATGTAAAGACATGTCCATCTTAGAAATGAAGAAATGGCTTCCTTGCAAGTTTGCAAGAACATTAGTGACATAATGTATAAAGTACTTAACATAAGTGTTCAAAGGGTAACTGTTGTTACTATTATCAACTGTATTAATTAAACTGTTTTGAGATTTAACACACATGTTACAGACTTTAAGAAAGCAGCTGAGTGCAGGTTTTTTGTTTTAGTTTTGCGTTTATGCCAATGTGAAAATATGAACAGCTCAGTTCTACATTCTGTTCCCTGAAAATACCACGAGAGCTATTAGACAGTCTTGAAAGGCAGTATCTAACATAAGCTTTGTGTGTTCATGGATATTTGTTCAATAATAACATTTAAATAATGAGGGAGGCCACTTCTAAAGACTTATCATTTACCTGATCTACACAATATCTAGCATAGGACCAGTTCTCAATTGACGGCAAACAGTCCCAGCAGGTCACTTCATTTTGAACAGACATTGCAATTGCACTTGAGAAATCATGCCAAGTTTTGCAGGGATTGTCCTTGGACTTGTCACCACGAAGACATAACTCATGCTATTTACATATTATAGCATTTTCTTTCTTTTTTTTTTTGAGACGGAGTCTCACTCTGTTGCCCAGGCTGGAGTGCAGTGGTGCGATCTCTGCTCACTGCATGTTCTGCCTCCCGGGTTCACGCCATTCTCCTACCTCAGCCTCCTGAGTAGCTAGGACTACAGGCGCCCGCCACCACACCCAGCTAATTTTTTGTATTTTTAGTAGAGACGGAGTTTCACCATGTTAGTCAGGATGGTCTCAATCTCCTGACCTCGTGATCTACCCGCCTCAGCCTCCCAAAGTGCTGGGATTACAGGCATGAGCCACCGTGCCGGGCTATTATAGCATTTTCTAGACTAGTTCAATCTGCAATGTCCTTGCACTGACCAGGGCTCCATTTCCTTTATCAGAGGGCTATGATGGAAATGATGTGGAGTTCACCTGGCTGAGACGGAATGACTCTGTGCATGGGCTGGAAACCCTGTGGCTTGCTTAGTACACCATACAATGGTATTTCACCTTGGACACCAGATTGCAGCAGGAGACAGGTAACTCATGTGACAATTTTTTTTTTTTAATTTTTACCATTGTTTTCGTAGATATTCCTAGGCCAGTTCTAAGAGTTTGTTTCTTGGGAGATTAGTGCTGGAGGCCAGAAGTCTGAGATCAAGGTTGGTTTTTTCTGAGGCCTCTCTCCTTGGCTTGGAAACAGCCGTTTTCTCGGTGTCTTCACATGGTCTTTTGCTCTGTACCTGTCCAAATTTCCTTTTCTTATAAGGACATCACTTGTATAAGATAAGGGTTTTCCCCTCATTTTAACTTAATTACCTCTTTAAAGGCCCTATCTCCAAACACAGTTACATTCCGAGGTACTGCAGGTCAGGGCTTCAGCACATGAATTTTGGGCAAGGATGGAGAGGGTTGGAAACAATACAATTCACCCCGTAACACCAGATCTGACTCCTCTCACTAGCCTCCTCAAAGAGTGAGGGGTTACTGTGTGTCCTTTTCAGATTCAAATTAAACAAGCTTTTGCTCTGTCAGCCAATTCTGGGAAACCAAGTTTGGTTTGGGCAGCCAGTCAGGTTGTCTTTTTATTACTAAGTTGTAAGAGTTTTTTTTTTTTTTTTTTTTTTTTTTTTTTTTTTTTTTTTTTTTGAGATGGAGTCTTGCTCTGTCACCCAGGCTGGAGTGCAGTGGTGCAATCTTGGCTCTCTGCATCCTTTGCCTCCTGGGCTCAAGCCATCCTCCCACCTCAGCCTCCAGAGTAGCTGGGACGACAGGCACGTGCCACCTTGGCTGGCTAATTTTTTTGTATTTTTGGTAGAGATGGGGTTTCATCATGTTGGCCAGGCTGGTCTTGAACTCCTGAACTCAAGTGATCCTCCTGCCTCAGCCTCCCAAAGTGCTGGGATTACAGGCGTAAGCCACTGTGCCCGGCCAGTTGTGAGAATTTTGTATGTATTCTGACTACCAGTCCTCTGTCAGATATATGTATTATGATGATTTCTCCCAGCCTGTGGCTTGCCTTTTAATTTTCTTAATTTTGTCTTTCAAAGAGCAGAAGTTTTGCATTTTGATAAAAATGCAACTTACCAATTATTTCTTTTATGGTTTCTGCTTTGGCAAGTTTGTAAATATTTTTTTCCCTGTGTTGCATGGTTTTAGCAATTATCTTTAGGTCTATGATCCACATGGAGTTAATTTTTGTGTGTGGTGTGAGGTAGGGATTGAGGTTTTTTTTTTTTCCAATATAGATATGCAGAATTTAGGCTGGGTGTGGTAGATGACATCTGTAATCCCAGCACTTTGGGAGGCCAAGATGGTTAATTGCTTGACGTCAGGAGTTCGAGACTAGCCTGGGCAATATGGTGAAACCCTGTCTCTACCAAAAATACAAAAAAATTATCTGGGTGTGGTAGCATGCATCTGTAGTCCCAGCTACTTGGGAGGCTGAGGTGGGAGGATCGCTTGAGCCCAGGAGGCAGAAGTTGCAGTGAGCCAAGATGGTGCCACTGCACTCCAGTCTGGGTGACAGAGCCAAACCCTATCTCATTAAAAAAAAAAAAAAGAGAGAGAGAAGAAAAGGGAAAAGAAGATATGCAGTTGTTCCTGCACCATTTGTTGAAAAGACTGGAATGTTGATTTTAATAATGCATGTAAATTCTCCACCACCTTGGGAAATGGTGTTGGCTGAAAATTACATGTGCCCTGATAACATATGCTTTAACAGAGTACCTGGTGAGTGGAATGAGAATGTGGTGGTTTGCATGAGTAACTTTGCATTTCTGAACTGTTTTTCAATGCCTCCATTCATATTGGTAATTGAGGTCATTGGGTTAGTAAGGCAAGCAATCAGTGGCAGGAAAGCATTTTCAGGCACATAGTAGGTAACTCAAGTAAAGAGTGAAACCCTTCCAAATGATTAAAAGAATTAAAAAAAAAAAAAAGAGTGAAGTCCTGGGCACAGCTGTTAGAAATCTAGACAGCTGGCCAGGCTTAGTGGCTCACACCTGTAATCCTAGCACTTGGGAGGCCGAGGCAGGTGGATCACTTGAGGTCAGGAGTTCGAGACCAGCCTGGCCAACATACTGAAATCCCTGTCTCTACTAAAAATAAAAAATTAGCTGGGCACAGTGGCGGGTGCCTGTAATCCCAGCTACTGGGGAGGCTGAGGCAGAAGAGTCAGTTGAACCCGAGAGGCGGAGGTTGCAGTGAGCTGAGATTGCGCCACTGCATGCGCCACTGCACTCCAGCCTGGGTGACAAGAGCAAGACTTTGTATCAAAAAGAAAAAAAAGAAATGTAGACAGTTGCATGACAGTTCTAGTATTAATAACATTTATCATCAGTGCTCTTGTTCTTGATGTATACTGATCACCAGGTGATGTCCACTGTTTACCAGAGGAATATCAGACTCTGGAAACATAACGGTAAGAAGCAAAGGAGAGGGGGCAGGTGATTTGTGGAGGATGCTCCAGCTGCCTTTCCCTGTTCTAGAGTAAGGGCAGCTCTAGATGCAGCCCTTGCCCTACGTGAAAGTGCAGGAACACTCCCTGAGAGGCAGGAGTGCTGGTTTCTCGAAGCTGTCATGGTCTCTGTGTTGGTGGTTATGCCTCTTTAGAGGTCTCCTGGAGGAGTGTCCTCATTGAAACTTTCCCTTTAGGCCATCAGGCCTTGGAGACAGGGTTGGCATTTTACACATCTTTAATCCCTGCATGAGATTCACATTTCTTCTTAGGTCAGGGGATGCTGAAGCCTTGGTAAGCTGCAGCCTTTGTCAGTAGTTTTTTTTTTTCCCCACAATTATTCAGGGGGAACCAATGAACTCCATGAGGGTGGGGATTACATCTGTCTACTGTTGTATCTCCAGCACTTAGAATGGTGCTTGGCACCTAAAGGATGCTCAAGTTGTTGAAGGAATTAATATTCCCTCTTTCAACAGCTGAGTGTCATAGCTTGGGTCTAGCCCTGCACAGTCAAGGAAAAATAAATCTGACTGGATTAGGACCTCCAACATCTGGGAAGGATCTGGAGCTGGTCTGCTGAAATGAGCTTAGGGAAAAGTTCGAGGTACTTTCCCTCTTCTCACTTCCTCACTCCGCAATTTATGTGTCCAGTTTGATTGAATGGGATTCTTCTTAGGTGCCTACTAGGATGTGAGTCTCACCATTAACCTAGCCCATTTGGTGATGAACCAGATTTTCTGCATAGCTCCTTTTAGCCTTCTCTTTTCTTCCCAGTGGAGTTGGCCTCAGTGCCCGGAAGCCACAGCTTTGTCCTGTGTCCTGGCTATCCCTGAATCCACAATGGTACCATAATTTTGACAGCAAGTTTCACCAGTACCCATAGACTCCTATGCTGAGGTTCCTGTCTATCAGAATGGATTCCTTAGCTTTGGACTTTTAAATTTTAAGATACTGTCTTCACTTTGGGCATTGCGTCTATTACCAATATGTTTTCTTAGTCCCAGCTTGTCTGTTCTAGGCTTACTTCCGCCTCCCTGCTAGCTCACTGTTTAATTCCCAGCAGATCTGGAGGCTGGGGCTACGTATGGTTTTGAGAAAGGCTCCTCTGCTTGGCACTTCACAAGGACTTCCAGTAATGAGTGGCGAAAAGATAGCGTGACTCTGTTGCTTCAATTTACTCTTATCTGTCCACCTTTTTGGAGTGGGAGTCTGTCATGACTTTCCCTTTCTAAACCACAAAGCTAACATAATATTTCACTTTATTTATTTATTTTTAATTAAAAAAAAATTTTTTTTTTGAGACGGAATCTCGCTCTGCTGCCCATACTGGAGTGCAGTGGCGCAATCTTGGCTCACTGCAGCTTCAACCTCCTGGGCTCAAGCCATCTGCCCACCTCATCCTCCCAAGTAGCTGGGACCACAGGCACACGCCACCACACCTGACTAATTTTTGTATTTTTTGTAGAGATGGGGTTTTGCCATGTTGCCCAGCCTGGTCTCGAACTCCTGAGCTCAAGCAATCTGCTAGCCTTGGCCTCCCAAAGCGTTGAGATTACAGGCATGAGCCACTGTGCCTGGCCTAACATGGCATTTTAAAAAATCATAGTGTTCCTGTGATCTTATTCCCTTGACTAATAATTTATTTAGAGTGGATACATGATCCAGTCTGGCAAATGAGATGGAAGTGGAGCTGACTTGAGAGGGATTCCTTTCCCGAAAAACACACAAAAGCACCAGAGAAAAAAGCTTTCCCCCTCCCCTTTTTCACCAGCTTGAACGGGGGGCATTCCTGGAGCAGCAGGAGCGGCCTCTTCGAAATCTTGAGATGGCACACATGAGGACAAATGCCAATATGCCAAGCACAGCAGGGTGGGAAGAAATCTGAATCCCTGATGGCATCATTTTGCAGTTGAACTGATGCCAGCAACAATCCACCTCTGAATTTATGCTGTGGGAAAAATTACCTATTATTTGTTTAAGCCTGAAGTTGTGTTTTCTTTTATTTGCAAAAGCATGCATTTCTTTTTCTTTTCTTTTTTTTTTTTTTGAGACGGAGACTCACTCTATCCCAGGCTGGAGTGCAATGGCGCGATCTCGGCTCACTGCAACCTCTGCCTCTTGGGTTCAAGCGATTCACCTCCCTCAGCCTCCCGAGTAGAAAAGCATGCCTTTCTAACTTGTAGTTAATTTTCTTCTTTTAACACATCAGTCTGGTCTTATTTCTAGGCTTTATCTCATACGACATTTACTGTGTCCTCACATGCACATACTCCTGGCCCCAACCTCTCTCAGAATTTTATTTTTCCTAGTGTCCTAGCTTTGAGCTGTCTACTTGTTCTTGCCCACCACTGGATGTTCAGCTGCACTTTTCTCTAAAAGGTTTGGTACTCCACTCCAAAAAAAATTATATTTTTAAAATATAGGAAACGATGATATATGGAGGACCTACTATGTGCCAGGCACCACACCACATATGTTACAGACATTACCTCATTCGATCTTCACAATCAGCCCAATGTGGTAGGTATTAGCCTCCTCCTCCACCATCCTTTTATAGCAGAGGAAACATAAGCACAGTAATGTTAGAGAGCTTGCGTAAGGCCTCTCAGCCAGCAATTAGTAGAGCCAGTTTTCATATCCAGGTCTATTGAATTCCCCAAAATGCTCTTGCAATTCAGGGAGCAGGCTTGTATTTGTCAGGTTCTTAATTCCAAGCAAAGTAATGCAATCTAGCCAATTTAAGCAGAAAGGGATTTGTCTTAGTCCATTCTGTGCTGCTATAACAGAATACCACAGACTGGGTAACTTATGAGGAACAGAAATCTATTCTCTCACAGTTCTGGAGCCTAGGACATTCAAGATAAAGGCACCAATGGTTGAGTCTCTGGTTCCATGATGATGCCTTGTTGCTGCATCCTCCAGAGAAGAGGAACGCTGAGTCCTCATGTGGCAGAAGTGCAGGAGAGAGAGAACACACTCCTGCAAGCTTGTTTTATGGCAAAGTTAATCCATTCACCAGGGCAGAGCCCTCATGATTTAACCACCTCTCATTAGGCCCCGCCTCCCAACACTGTTGCATTGGGGATTAAGTTTCAACATGAATTTTGGAGGGGACACAAACATTCAAACCATAGCATTCCGCCCCCCATCCTCCCAAAATATCCTTCTCACATGCAAAATGCATTCATTCCATGCCAGTAGCCCCAAATGTCCTAACTTGTTTCATCATCTACTCAAAAGTCCAGAGTCTCTTGTTACACGGATATGGTTGAGACTCAAGGCATGATTTAACCTGAGGCAAATTCCCCTCTAGCTCATACCTGTGAAATTAAACAAGTCACATGTTTCCAAAATACAATGGAGACAGGCATGGGATAGACACACTTCTTCCAAAAGTGAGAAATAGGAAAGAAGAAAGGGATAACAAGTCCCAAGTAAAAGCCCAAAACCCAACGGGACCAACAACATTAGATTTTAAGGCCTGAGAGCCATCTTCTTTGACTCCATGACAGACCATCTGGACACAATGGGTGAGGGTTGGACTCTCAAAGCTCCTGGTGGCCCTACCCCCATGGCTTTGCTGGGTGCAGCTGTCATGGGTTGGAGTCTTGTGTCTGTGGCTCTCCCAGGCTAGTGTTGCATGCTAATGGCTCTACAGTTCTGATGTCTTAGGAGTGGCCCTGACCCACGACTTTACTAAGCAATGCCCTATTTGGGTATCTTTGCAGTGACCCCCAATCCCACAGTTCCACTGGGCAAGGGGATTTAGAAAACAGAGTTCCGAGTTTTCCGGTATCCAGAGTGCAGGATGGAAAGGGAGATGGGGCCAATAGCGGGATCCGCCAAGGCCTCCTTGAGGAAGGCTCTTTCTTTACAGAAGAGCTGCGCATTCAGTTACTACTGTAAGGCAGAGAGTTTAGATTGCAATTCAGCAGCATCTCCAAAAAACTCGTAGTGCTAGAATGGCTTTGAGGTGGAATTTTGGAAATGAGAACCATGATGAATGAATGATGGAAATGGTGACTCCTTGCCATAGTTAAGCTGTTGTCCTTAACATTTCTTTTAGGTAGCACAGTATACAAGCTTACATTAAAATATTCACGGCCAGGTGCGGTGGCTCACACCTGTAATCCCAGCACTTTGGGAGGCCGAGGCAGGCGGATCACAAGGTCAGGAGTTCGAGACCAGCCTGGCCAACATGGTGAAACCCCCTCTCTACTAAAAATACAAAAATTAGCAGGGAGTGGTGGCAGGCACCTGTAATCCTAGTTACTCGGGAGGCTGAGGCAGGAGAATTGCTTGAATCTGGGAGGCAGAGGTTGCAGTGAGCCGAGATTGCGCCACTGGACTCCAGCCTGGGTGACAGAGTGAGACTCCATCTCAAAAAAAAAAAAAATCACAAACATTAAAAACATAAGATGGTGATCTATTTCAAGTACTTTGTTAATTTTTTTTTTTTTTTTTTTTACCTATTCTAAGTTTCCTTCTGGAGGAATATGGCCAAATGAAACTTTCCTTGTCTTTTTTTTTTTTTTTTTTCCAGAGACAGGGTCTTGCTCTGCGGCCCAGGCTGGAGTGCAATGGCGTGATTACAGCTCTCTGCAGCCTGGACCTCCCAGGCTCAGGTGATCCTTTCATTTCAGCCTCCTGAGTAGCTGGGGCTATAGGCATACACCACCACGCTCGCTAATTTTTTATCTTCATTTTTTGCAGAGACAGAGTCTCCCTATGTTGCCCAGGCTTGTCGCAAACTCCTGGGCTCAAACGATCTTCTGGCCTCAGCCTCCCGGTGTCAGGATTACTGGCATAAGCCATGGCACTTGGCCTCCTTCTCTTTCTACATGAGTGTATGAAAAACACTCAACCTGTGGGACATCTCTTCTATGTTGCTGTGATCTTATAAGAGATGTTAAATAAAGGGACTTCTAACTAGTTATGAGAAGTCTTATTGAACTGAAAGGATGGGGAAATGCTTTCAAACAGTTACCAAATTCCTCACCTGAGTAATGGGCATATTTTAACACCTTAAGAAAAACCCCGTAAGTTTCTTAGTTGATTATTCTGTGCTAAACTGTTAGATTTTTTTTTCTCTTAAGGTCAATGTTCATTATTTTAGTACCACCAGCTAAGATGACAGTTTGTCCCATAGGCTGTCAAGGACATTGACAAGTAACAAGGATATTGCTTTTCTTGAAAGATTCTGGAGAGCTTTTCACCCCCACTCACCTGACAGCACAGAATGTCAATCCACTGGCAGGGAGTCTCCGAGTGGCAGACGGAAGGTTTCCTGCTCCTGCCAGAAACCAAATACCAGAGTGAAGTCCTCTCTGAATTCCACACCCACCCTGTTCATTCATTTTCAGAGCCTGTTTTTCCTTTGACAACATTTCTCAGAGAGAACTGTGACAAGTGTACAAATGAACTGTCTATCTCTATTTCGCAGTACAGCAATATGTCTACTCTCTGAAATCTTCAAACATAGCAGATTCTAGTCCATTTTCTTGATGTATTCATTAGTAGCTACACTGGAGGTTACTGAATCCAATTTTCATTAGTGAATGTCCCCAAAGATGACATGTGCCTCTCTTTGCAAAATTGCCTGGTTTTCATAAACTTGACTACGAAGTTACTTTAAACGGAATCATGCTTTTCTTATTAACATCATCTTATAGGGATTTCATGCTCATAAAAAAAAGGGTCTCAACAGGTAAGTTAAAACACTCAAGAGGATGTAGAAAATTAAGAAAAACTTTTAAAGGAAAAAGGGAACATCAGTAATAAAAATTTTAGCACATTTCAGCTAACACTGACACCAAATTCAGCTTTTGCTTTGGACTAAAATAATGTTATTTGAATATCAGAGGCCTAGTTAGTAGGCAACCCTTTAAAAATCTCAGGTCTATTTGCCTTTAGCTGTTTGCTGAAAAGGAGTTTTTGTTTGTTTGTTTGTTTTGTTTTGGCTGTTTGTTCATCAATTTGGTTTATTTTGTTAAAGATTTCTTTCCATACTATACACCCTGCAACTTTCAGATATTTCAGAATACCTGATAGATAAAATGTTCAACCGCTATCTTTTCTGAGTTTTATGCCATTGTTGGTGAGTCTGGGACTGAATCTTTTTTTTTTTTAATCTTTTTTTTTTGAGACAGGGTCTCATTCTGTCACCCAGGCTGGAGTGCAGTGGTGCCAGTATGGCTCACTGTAGTCTTGACCTTCCATGCTCAGGCAATCCTCCCGTCTCAGCCTCCCAAATAGCTGGGACTACAGGCGCATCCCACCAGGCCTGGCTATTTTTGTGTATCTTTTTCAGTAGAGATGAAGTTTTGCCATGTTGCCCAGGCTGGCCTTGAACTCCTGGGCTCAAGAGATCCACCTGCTTCAGCTTCCCAAAGTGGTATAATTACAGGCATGAGCCATTGCGCCTGGCCTCTATGCATATGTTGAGAAGCCCCAGTCTGAGCTCAGAGATGACCTCTGGTTAAAATGAGGGACTTGGTTTATATCTTTTTTTTTTTTTGAGATGGAGTCTTGCTCTGTCACCCAGGCTAGAGTACAGTGGCACAATCTCGGCTTATTGCAACCTCTGCTTCCTGGGTTTGAGAGATTCTTCTGCCTCAGCCTCCCCAAGTAGCTGGGATTACAGGTGCCCACCACCACACCCGGCTAATTTTTGTATTTTTAGTAGAGATAGGGTTTCACCATGTTGGCCAGGCTGGTCTCGAACTCCTGACCTCAAATGATCTGCCCACCTCAGCCTTCCAGTGCTGGGATTACAGGCGTGAGCCACTGCGCCTGGCCAGGGCTTGGTTTTTATCTAACTCTGTAGAAGATGCCCCAGGAAGAGCAGAGAACTCTATAAAAGACAAACTTGGGTTTGGATTCTGGCTCTTCTGGTAATATATCTTAACTTTATGGGCACCAATTTTGTCATCTCTAAAATAGGGATAATGCTTCAGAGTTGTGTAGTATGAAGTCGAAAAATATTGAGGCCGGGTGTGGTGGTACACACTCCTCTAGTCCCAGTGACTCAGGAGGCTGAGGAAGGAGGATTGGTTGAGCCCAGGAGTTTGAGGCTGCAATGAGCTATGATTGCACCACTATGTTCTAACCTGGGTGACAGAGAGAGACCCTGTCTCTAAAAAAGCAAAACTGAAAAAACCTACAAAAATATTTAATATGTACAGTTTCTGATAGACACTAACTCTCTTTTCCAATTTCCTAAGAAACAATGCTCAGTACTTGTGGTGGTTGCCTAAAGTTGTAGAGGTGAAAACTTTGTTTTCATTTCCATTTAGGTCTTTTTTTTTTTTCAAAAATTTTTTTAAATAGAGACAGTCTCACTATGTTGCCTAGGCTGGTCTCAAACTCCTGGGCTCAAGTGATCCTCCCACCCTGGTCTCTCAAAGTGTTGGGATTACAGGCATGAACCACTGTGCCTGGCTGACTCTTGTTTTTATAAACATTATATGTCAAGATTTACACTTGCAATGAATCTCATTATCCCACTGTATTTCTTTTCTTGTGGTGATCCCCAAAACAACAACAAAATCCTGCCCAGTCTCTACATATTTTTGACCAAATATATATATATTTTTGAGACGGAGTCTCACTCTGTCGCCTAGGCTGGAGTGCAGTGGCATGATCTTGGCTCACTGCAAGCTGCGCCTCCTGGGTTCACGCCATTCTCCTGCCTCAGCCTCCTGAGTAGCTGGGACTACAGGTGTCCGCCACCACACCCGGCTAATTTTTTGTATTTTTAGAAGAGACGGGGTTTCACCGTGTTAGCCAAGATGGTCTTGATCTCCTGACCTCATGATCCTCCCGCCTCAGCCTCCCAAAGTGTTAGGATTACAGGCATGAGCCACCGCACCCGGCCATTTTTGACCAAATATTATAGGCGCTTTAAGATATACTACAAACACTAAGCAATTTGCTGTGTTTTTTAAATGTTACTTTTTCCCTACATAAAATGTTGAAATTCATCAAAATTCGGCCAGATGTGGTGGCTCACGCCTGTAATCCCAGCACTTTGGGAGGGTGAGGTGGGCGGATCACGAGGTCAGGAGATGGAGACGATTCTGGCTAACACGGTGAAACCCCATCTCTACTAAAAATACCAAAAAAATTAGCCGGGCGTGGTGGCGGCATGCGCCTGTAATCCCACCTACTCAGGAGGCTCAGGCAGGAGAATGGCCTGAACCCGGGAGGTGGAGCTTGCAGTGAGCCAAGATCGCGCCATTGCACTCCAGCCTGGGTGACAGAGCAAGACTCTGTCTCAAAAAAAAGAGAAATTCATCAAAATTCTAACACTTAAAATGCTTCCATGACTATCATTGTATCCCAACTTTGTTTTTGGTCTGGATAGAAGCCACAGTGATGACTCAGTTCATTCCATGCGCCTTGAATCTATTTTGCTAAAATAGACAACAGCTGAGCCATATTTATGTCCTAATCTAATGAACCAACAGTGCAAAAAATAACGCTTTAAATCTGCTTCCTTTTTTGAGAAAGAAATTCACTTAAAATACAATTTCCTTTTATATTCCTCCAAAGCCTGAGCTGTATGATTTTTTGTGTGTGCTTCCTAAAAAACTTTATCTCTAGAGGTAAATGCTGAGTTTTGAAAAAGTTTAGAGCTTTTGCTAAATAGACTGAAGACTTGCTTTCAAATCTAGAGTTTGATGATTTAAACAAGGTTCACCAGGCGTGGTGGCTCACACCTGTAATCCTAGCACTTTGGGAGGCTGAGAAAAGAGAATCACTTGAGCCCAGGAATTCGAGACCAGCCTGGAGAACATAGTAACACCCTGTATCTACAAAAAAATAAACAAAATTAGCCAGGTGTGATGGCACATGAGGTTGGAGGATCACTTGAGCCTAGGAGGTCAAGGCTGCAGTGAGCCATGATCATTCCACTGAACTCCAGCTTGGGCGATAGAGTGAGACCCTGTCTCAAAAACAAAACAAAAGACAAGGTTAACTTTTTCATCATCTGTAAAGTGGAGATGACTTCAATGTCACATTCCTGGGTTTATGTTTGCATAACTGAAGAGCTAAGAGCAGAAAGGAGCTCTTCAAGTTTGGAAGGAACGGAGGATGAGAATTCCTTCTTAAGCTGGTGCGGAATACTGATCTGCTCCCAGATAATACCCTGGAGGTGGCAGTGTTTCCAGTGGGGACGGTCGTGGTTAGCTGTGCACTGTGCTCGGAGTGCTATGTTGTGGAACTGCAGGGAGGCCCCAGACTTACAGATCCTTTATCCTCTACCCGACAGGTGTAGCTGGTGGGGATGGACTGAGTCGGGGGAGGAGGCTCCTGAAGAGCAGCTAATTCTTGCCTTTTGCTTGATTGTGGTCTAAGGACATGGAAGGACAGTGATCTGATGATGGAACACCGCATAAGGTATTTGTTGGTGCATTTTTTTCTTAATACTAGGTGTTTTGAGATAATGCCACTTGCTCCATCTCTTAATATTCTCCGTGTGGATTGGACATGTTGCCTGACTGTTAATGACAGCCATTGGGCCTCATTTCTTGATTGGGTGAAGCTAAATTATCAAAGGTCCCAAGCATGAAGATTTTGGTCTGTTTCTACTTCTCTGTCTTCCCAGTCCAATGAAGGTGGCCACTAGGGTTATGTGTCGGCTCTGCAGTACCAAGCTTGCCCTCACGTGAGGTGTTCTGAGGATAGGAATAGTAAACTGGAGGATAGGGAGTTAGCACCATCATTGGGTCTTTCATACAGAGCTTCATCTTTCAAATTACCCTTTATTAGTAATAAAAGCAATATTTGAACCTCCATTTCCCTTATTCCTTTGGATTATTTTTCTTTTCTTTTTTTTCTTTTTTTCTTTGCAGTTGCAAAATTTAATAGAGTGAAAACAGAGCTCCCATAAAATGGGAGGGGACCCAAAGGAGGTTGCCGCTCCCTGCTTGAATGTCTGGGTTTATATCCCGATCATTGTCCCTCCCCCTGTGCTCTCAGGCGATATATGATTTGGCCATTTCCTTTGGATTGTTTTTCAATGGGCCCTGAACCCAGGTGGGAAGAGAGGCACTATTTTTTCTTTTTTTTTTTTTTCTGATACGGAGTCTCGCTCTGTCACCCAGGCTGGAGTGCAGTGGTGCTATTCTGGCTCACTGCAAGCTCCGCCTCCCGGGCTCATGTGAGAGGCACTACTTATAGGCCCCTCTCAAAGACTTGACTAAGAGCCACCAGGTGGAAGAGTCAACACTACCAAAATACCACAACCTTTACACAAAGGAGGAAGAGTGAAATGAATATTGAACATAGTTGTTAACTGACATAACATCATTTGAACTTACCTAAATGTTAGGTTTTTTTATTATTATTATTTTATTTTTTATTTTTATTTTTTTGAGATGGAGTCTCGCTGTGTCACCCAGGCTGGAGTGCAGTGGCGTCATCTCAGCTCACTGGAAGCTCGGCCTCCTGCGTTCACGCCATTCTGCCTCAGCCTCCCGAGTAGCTGGGACTACAGGCACCTGTCACCATGTCCGGCTAATTTTTTGTATTTTTAGTAGAGACGGAGTTTCACCGTGTTAGCCAGGATGGTCTCGATCTCCTGACCTCGTGATCTGCCCACCTCGGCCTCCCAAAGTGCTGGGATTACAGGTGTAAGCCACCGCGCCCGGCACCTATTTTTATTTTTTTTGAGACAGAGTCTCGATCTGTCACCCAGGCTGGAGTGCAGTGGCGTGATCTTGGCTCACTGCAATCTCCGCCTCCCAGGTTCAAGCGATTCTCCTGCTTCAGCCTCCCGAGTAGCTGGGACTACAGGTGTGTGCCACCATACCCAGCTAATTTTTGTATTTTTAGTAGAGACAGGGCTTCACTACGTTGGCCAGGCTGGTCTCGAACTCCTGACCTCAGGTGATCTGCATGCCTCGGCCTCCCAAAGTGCTGGGATTACAGGCATGAGCCACCGTGCCCGGTCAGGTTATTTTTTTGATCGATAACGCATATTGCCTTTAGTTAGAAGTGGGTCACAGTTAGCTACTCCCCACCCCTGAGTACCCGGTTATAATGAAAGCAAGGTTTCGACAAAATTAGGCCACCCATATATATTTGTATAGAGCATGCGCTTATCAGCAAGCAAGCACACAACCGTTCGTACAACCTGCTCATTTTTTTTTTTTTTTTTGAGATGGAGTCTTTCTCTGTCACCCAAGCTGTAGTACAGTGGTGCGATCTTGGCTCACTGCAACCTCTGCCTCCTGGGTTCAGGTGATTCTCCTGCCTCAGCATCCTGTGTAGCTGGGATTAAAGGCGTCTGCCACCATGCCCAGCTAATTTTTGTATTTTTAGTAGAGACGAGGTTTCACCACGTTGGTCAGGCTGATCTCGAAATCTCGACCTCAGGTGATCCACCCTCCTCAGCCTCCTGAGTGCTGGGATTACAGGCGTGAGCCATCGCGCCCAGCCTTTTTTTTTTTTTTTGAGATGAAGTTTCGCTCTGTTGCCAGGCTGGAGTGCAGTGGAGCAATCTCAGCTCACTGTAACCTCTGGCTCCCGTGTTCAAGCAATTTTCCTGCCTCAGCCTCCCAAGTAGCTGGGACTACAGGCGCCTACCACCATGCTCGGCTAATTTTTGTATTTTTAGTAGAGATGGGATTTCACCATATTGGCCAGGCTGGTCTTGAACTCCTGACCTTGTGATCTGCCTGACTTGGCCTCCCAAAGTGCTGTGATTACAGGTGTGAGCCACCACGTCTGGCCTACCACTACCAATTTTAACACTGGAAACTCATTTCTAACATAATGATGCTAACTTTATTTTATTTTATTTTATTGAGACAGGGCCTTTCTCTGTCGCCCCGGCTGGAGTGCAGTGGCATGATCACAGCTCATGCAGCCTCAACGCTCTAGGCTTAAGCAATCTTCCCATCTCAGCTTCCTGAGTAGCTGGGACTACAGGCATGCACCACCATTTCTGGCTAATTTTTTAATTTTTTGTAGAGACAGGGTCTCCCTGTGTTGCCCAGGCTAGTCATGAACACCTGGGCTCAGTGATCCCTCTTCTCAGCCTCCAAAAGTGCTGGGATTACAGGTGTGAGCCACTGCTGCGGGCCCATGCTAACTTTAAAAGTCTCAGGTGCTCATTAAAGAGAAAGCACTTGTAGCAGCTGCCCCAAGACTGGGCTTTCTGATTAGCATGCTGGGTGGCTTCCTGACGGTAGAGGGGAATCCCTAAGAAGGACATTTGACCCACCCACACCCGCATATTGCAAAACACACAGCTTCTGAAATGGTAAATGGCTGGCTCAATATCTTTGCAGTCCCAGTTATAAAGGCTCATCACCTTTTCCATGCCAGTATATAGAGGAGAAACACAATAACAAGTTTCTTATTTCCGTACGTATTTGAACTCCAATGTGAAGAAGGTGTAACATTTATAAAACAACTACATATTTTCTATTCATGATTTGATCATCTATTTTGTTACTCTTTTTGCCTTCCCTTTCAATGTTTGAACATATTCCTTATTATAAGTTCAGTTGAATGATTCGGGATTGACCTATTTCCCCTCTCCTGCTCCCATCTTTTGTAATTTTTCCTAAGGCCAACTGGTGGCCATAGTTCAATTTCCCACTGTAGGCTAGGTTGACTCTTATCATTACTATAAGATGATCCACCTTATTACTATAAGGTGATCTGCCTGCTTTGGCCTCCCAAAGTGTTGGGATTATAGGCGTGAGCCACTGAGCCCAGTCAGGTTATTTTTTTGATCGATAATGCATATTGCCTTTAGTTAGAAGTAGGTCACAGTTGGCTACAGTTAGTTACTATAACTGTCATTCCACAGGATCCTCCTAACTCAACTTATTCTGTGTCCTGTTTTTTCAAAAAAATCACAGAATTTTGCACAGGCTTTGAACATGTTAACCCATGTCTTCAAAAATGAATGAATCTACAAGAACCCAAGCCATGCACTGGCGAGCTCAATGAAGACATACGAAAATCATTCCCTTTGGTCTCAAACATGTTCCATTAGAGATTGTTTGCACCTGGCCGGGCGCTGTGGCTCACACCTGTAATCCCAGCACTTTGGGAGGCCAAGGTGGGCGGATCATCTGAGGTCAGGAGTTCGAGATCAGCCTGACGAACATGGTGAAACCCCATCTCTACTAAAGATACAAAATTAGCCAGGTGTGGTGGTGCATACCTGTAATCCCAGCTACTTGGGAAGCTGAGGAAGGAGAAATGCTTGAATCCAGGAGGTGGAGGTTGTAGTGCGCCGAGACCATGCCATTGCACTCCAGCCTGGGCAAGAAGAGTGAGACTCCCCCTAAAAAAAAAAAAAGAGAGAGAGAGAGATTGTTTGCACCTACAATGTTCATTTTCAGCCTCCATCCAGAAGAGCCAAGTATGGTTTGGACCTAATATTATGAAGTAAATAGCTTTAAACATGGTTTGGTGGATTAATAATGGAGCCATCACTCGGCATCCATTGTCCTAGGCTGTATATATATTTGGAAAGGTTGCTAAGAGAGCATTCTCTTTAGGGCAAAAGGTCAAAGTAAGTGTAGCTTGACACCGACACCTTCCTGGTGACCCGAGTTTCTTCTGCCCACCTCCCTTGTTTTCTGTGAGGAGTCCTTCTGAGCTCATACGCCTGGTCTTATGGAAGGAAGTGGCTTTGAGTGCACCTCTACCTGTCTATACTCAGCCAGAGCTGAAGGGTGGAACAGGTATATCACGGAGAATATTTTCCACGTAACAAGATGGGTAATAAATGCATCAGTCTTGCCTTAGCCACATGCGAGATGGAGCCAGCCTCACTCACTTATCTCATCAGAATTTGGCCCATCACATTCATGTAAACAATTAAGAGGGGCCAGGATTTCTTCAGTTTTGTCTTGGGGGTGAGTAATAGAATCTCTGGTCCTGAGGTGAAAAAGTGATTTTTAAAAATTAGTTGGTTATGTTGTGATATGAGTTATCCCCCAGCCCACCCTGTCCACATTGCTCAACCAGATTTCTTCCCTTGGGGCCCTGCATGTTCAGCTTCACGATATCCTCCCATAGTCTGGAAAGCCCGTCCCTCATGCCCTTGGTATTTCATGTTTTGTGTAGCAATTGCTTCAGTTGTCCATTCCAATTTTTCAGTTGTACTAAATGCTTCAGGAGTGATGTTTAGAAACATGAAAAAAAATCACCAACTCTGTTTTTTTTTTCACGTGGCTCATTTGCATCGCGTATGCCTTAAAATGCATTCATTAGCTTGTTGCTTTATAAGTTGGAGGTCCATTTTGGAGGCAATCCAGGGTTTCTAGTCTTTTTATGCTTTTGTGCTCTTGATGTGACTGAGGGCAGACAAGGCTTAAACCAGAATCATTGTCAAAACCAATTAAGAAAAGCCTCCAAAGTCTCCCAATGCAATGGAAAAAGCCAGATGGAACTGACATGCCAGTTATGCCCCAGGCTATACCCTCACAGGATGTGGCCACTGACCAAAGGGAATTGTTCCTGTTGTGTCTTAATTGAGCTCACAGTGCATGGCTTGGCTCCTGCAGATCTGCTCATTCTGAGGACCTGGGCTGCCACCTTCAAAGTCTGCACAGTTTATTGTTCCAGCCACCAGCACTCTCTCTTTGGGCTGTGACTGGTCGACAGCGACGTGACCAAACCATTCTTGAATCATGCTAGCAGGCCTTTATGTGAGCAGTGTGAGCAGGGCCTACCTGAAAGAGCTGATAGAGCTGTTGATGGCACTAAATGAGACAATGTGTATATAGTTCTTAGCACAGAGCCTGGAACACCAGAGTTGTTCAGTAAGTGATCTGTGATTATCTCAGAACACACATCCCCACTTCACAACTTGGTTCCAATATCACCTGTTCTGTGAAACCTCACTGACAACACTCACTAGCAGAGGTAATGAAAAATCATAGGAGTTGCTTCAACTTTTCACCTTACAAAGATCTTTCACCTCCGTCATCTCACTTGATTTCTGTGACTGCCCTGTGAAGTTAGTATTATTATTATTCTCATGTGACAGATGGTGAAACCGAAGCCCAGTGGGGTTAAGTGACTTTACCATGGCCACATGGGACATGAATCTAAGTCTTGTGACTACTAGTCCACTGTTTTATCCATTATAGCATTTTGGTAGAGAACGTGACTTATAATTTGTAGACACTCAGTGAGGATAGGAGGAAGTAGTAGAAAGTGGAGTGAGAGAGGAATACCTGGCCTAGGAAAGACAGTTCAGAGTTGACAAACATCGTTTATCAGCTGTAAGGCCTCACGTAAGGTGTATAACTTCTCTGTGCCTTCATTTCCTCACCATAAAATGGGAATAATAATAATAATATTTTATTATTACCCTTAGTATCCTGGGGCCTGGGGTGTTGTAAGGGGTAAGTTTATCTATCTATCTATCTATCTATCTATCTATCTATCTATCTATCCAAATCATGTTTGTGTGTGTGTGTGTGTTTTTTTTTGAGACAGGGTCTTGCTCTGTCATCCAGGCTGGAGTGCAGTCACACAATCTCAGCTCACTGCAGTCTCAACCTCCTGGGCTCAAATGATTCTCCCACCTCAGCCTCCCAAATAGCTGGGATTACAGGTGCGTGCCACCATGTCTGGGTAATTTTTAAATTTTTCTACAAATGGAGTTTCTGCTATGTTGCTCAGGCTGGTCTTGAACTTCTGGGCTCAAATGATCCTCCTGCCTCAGCCTCCCAAAGTGCTGAGATTACAGGTGTTAGCCACCATGCCCTGCTGTTATTTTTTTTTTAAGTTAGAGAAAAGCACAATGGAATCAACCTTCAAGTTTGTTTACCAAATTAAAACCAAGAGTTTGTAACTGTGTTCTCCTCAGTCACCCAGAAACTCTAGTAGCACATTAAAGAAGTTGTATATAAGGCTTGTGTCGCTCTGTCCAGCATGTGATCATGGGCTGCCCACAGTATATTTTGGTACTCAGTATCCTCATGAAAATAGGCTGAGATACCCAGGGTCCTTATTAGGAGAAATCAGAATACTATTATGGCATGTGCTTTGTACTTATTAAATTTTTTTTAAAAAGAACAGGCTGGGTGCAGTGGCTCAAGCCTGTAACCCTAGCACTTTGGGAGGCCAAGGCAGGAAGATTGCTTGATCCCAGGAGTTTGAGACCAGCCTGGGCAATATAGTGAGACCTCGTCACTACAAAAAATAAAAAATTAGCTGGGCATGGTGGCTCACACCTGTAGCCCCAGCTACTTGGGAGGCTGAGGTGGGAAAATTGCTTGAGCCTGGGAAGTTGAGGCTGCAATGTGTTGTAATCGCACCACTGCACTCCAGCCTGGGTGACAGAGCAAGACTCTGACTCAAAAACAAACAAATAAATAAAATAAAATAAAATATAAATAAAAAGAACAGAAAAAGCAAAAATGTCAAAAAAGAGAACTAAGAAGTTGAGCTGGGTGTGCAAAACAGTGCCAAACCATCTAACTTCCCTCCACCAGCAATGAGAGAAAGCGTTTTAAACTGAAATGATTTAGTAGCTATACTGATTGGTTTGACTTGGTTTGATAAAAATGATCTGTGCAAGCTGGTTCCATGCCCATAGCATCAGCTGGGGTTCCATGGCAACAAAAATAATTACTCATCTGCAAACAGTCTTTGTAACAGCTAAGGGTTTGATTAGCATCTTAAAATTACTTTGTGATTCAAGGAATTTTATTTCCCACTTAAAGAACAAAACAATGATGATTTTTTTCTGGAATTGGTCATGTTTTAAAAGAACAAGAGGAGACAGATTATGGGTATGTTCTTCTATAAACTGTGTTTAGATTTTAGAACTGTGCATCCATTCTCAGCTAATCAGATGACAGCTCACTCTGCAGGACTCACATGCTGGTCTGATCGTTTACGTGTTCTTGGTCACCCTTTTTCTGTTTCTGCCTGTGAATCTTACCTCTTTCAAGCCCCTGTACTCCGACTCCCTCTCAGCAGATGACTGGAGACAGAAAATAAGAGTCCATCATCTTATTTAAATAGATTAAAGGAAACACAAAGACCGCAATGGAAAAATTGCAAAAGATGGAAAGAAAGAGAAGAAATAGAAATAATAAATAAATAAATGTAGTGGTTTGAGTCAGAAGGTTCGATCTCATTAGTTACCAATAAAATGTACATTGGAAGGACAATAAGATGATACTCCTTTTTTACCTGTCAAATTGGCAAAGAGTCTTTTTTTTTTTCTCCATCTGTCGCCCAGGCTGGAGTGCAGTGGCGCGATCTCGGCTCACTGCAAGCTCCGCCTCCTGGGTTGACGCCATTCTCCCGCCTCAGCCTCCCGAGTAGCTGGGACTACGGGCGCCCGCCACCTCGGCTGGCTAATTTTTTTGTATTTTTAGTAGAGACGGGGTTTCACCGTGTTAGCCAGGATGGTCTCGATCTCCTGACCTCGTGATCTGCCCGCGTCGGCCTTCCAAAATGCTGTTACTACAGACGTGAGCCACCGCACCCGGCCCAAATTGGCAAAGAGTTTTAAAAGTAATAGCATTCAGCATTGATAAAGGCATGGGAAAGCTGGAGCTCTTTTCCACTCCAACTGATACATAAACTAGTTCACAGCCTTCAAAACATTCACACTCTTGGACCTAGTACTAACTCTACTTGGAGTGAGTTAGTTATACAAGGTTAAACTCCAATAATAGGAGAATGATTACAACGACTTCTTTGTAATTATTTTAAAATTTCTTTTAAGCGCTTAACCACAAGCTAGCCACACATCTGAGGTCCTTACATGTATTTTGTCATTTAATCCTCATCAGAACTCTGTGAAGCAAATACTGTATTTCCTTTTTATGGAGGAGGAAACTGAGGTACAGAAAAAATGGAGGGACAGTGGCTCTAATGCCAGAGGCAGGCTCTGAACCAGTATGCTTAACTGCCTAGTTTCAGAAGAGGCTTAAGGCAGCAGGCGGAGCTGTATAAAATACAAGATAATCTCAAGTATTCTGTAGGAGAGAGAAAAACAATGGCAAAGACAGACATAAAACAGAGCCAGGAATGAGGCCAAAAATATATATCATTTGACCTATACACTTGCTAAGAGGACCACAAATTTGGCTAGAAGCTTTCTAGCAGCCTGTGGATAAAAGGAAATCTGATCAGTCATACAATTTACAGTATCCATAAGATAAAAGCAGGCCAATTACTCAGAAGAAGCCAACGATTCTAGGTAGTAAGACCAGACATAGATTTATTCTGCAGAACACAAAATGTTCTTGTAAAAAGAGACACTGTGTGAGCTAATGGATAATGAGCTCAACAGCATCCTTGTTTAGACAAGATGACCACTGATATGGTTTGGCTGTGTCCCCACCCAAATCTCATATTGAATTGTAGTTTCCATAATCCCCACGTGTCATGGGAGGGACCCGGTGGGAGGTAACTGAATCAAGGGGGCAGTTACCTCCATGCTGTTCTCGCGATAGTGAGTTCTCATGAGATTTGATAGTTTTATAAGAGGCTTTCGGCTTTCTCCCTTTTGCTCTGCACTTATCCTTGCTGCCACCATGTGAAGAAGGACATATATTGTAAGTTTCCTGAGGCCTCCCCAGCCATGCTGAACTGTGAGTCAGTTAAACCCCTTTCCTTGATAAATTACCCAATCTCAGGTATGTCTTTATTAGCAGTGTGAGCACAGACGAATACAATCACTTCCACTGGGTTGAGTCTTCTAGCTTTTCTCTTAGGGCTTATGGCCCAACATCAAAACATGGTAACAAGCAACAAGGATGTGGCTCAGGCACCCAGGTCCCTACTGCTTGGGGGATCGTAGGGTACCTGAGAGTGAGTGGACTGATAGCCTTTGATAGATGCTGTGAGAAATGAGAGACTGAGATTGTGCTTTTCAACAAATATGTAGAATTCATCTTTTCTATTTTGTAAGCCCCCCCACCTTTTTTTTTTGAGACAGGATGTTGCTCTCAGGCTGGAGTGTGGTGATGTTATCTTGGCTCACTGTAGCCTCCATCTTGCCAGGCTTAGGTGGTCCTCCTACCTCAGCCTCCTGGATAGCTGAGACTACAGGCATGTTCCATCACACCTGGCTAATTTTGTATTTTTTGTGGAGATGGGGTTTTGCCATGTTGCCTCAGCTGGTCTCGAACTCCTGGGCTCAAGCCATCTGCCTGCCTTGGCCTCCCAAAGTACTGCGTGTGAGCCACTGTGCCCAGCCTATTTTGTCAGTCTTTTATGCATTAAAGACCATTATACTAGAGACAGGAAAGGTGAAAAATATTGTAATATGAAATGATCAATTATATAGGTGTTAAACATGATGTTTAGGATGTCTTTTGGTAATATGAAAATGTTCTCAAACTATAGTATTAAATAAAGCAGGATACAAAACTGTATGTAATATGTAATCTCAACAATGTTTAACATATATATGGAGCTGCAGTGAGCTGAGATCGTGCCACTGCACTCCAGCCTGGGCGACAGCAAGACTGTCTCAAAAAAAATTTATATATATGGAGCAAGGTCTGAATCTTTAGTTTTTCTTGCTATAGAAATTTTTTTTCTTTTATTTACTGAATAGAAAGATGAAAGACAATTTCTGGATGGGTTGGAATATCTTAGAAAGAGGCATCAGTTTTCAGGTACTAATTGCTTGGGTTCTAGGTATGACCGACCATCAAACCAAGGGGAAAGAAGAAGAAAACAGTTTTGATTTGATTTGATTAGGAAGCAGGCATGTATATGATGAGGCATAAAGACCATGTGGGGGAAAAAACTGGGGAGAAACGTAGCAATGTGAAGGATTTCCAGAGGGGCCTTTAGAAACCTAAAAAGCTAATCTCTGAAGTTGTCCATGAGAGAGAGAGCCCAGAGCTAGGAGATTTCTGTCCCCAGGAGAGGTTTGGGAGCTGACTCCTCATTCCCTGTCAGACAGGCCTTCACCTGAATGGCAACCTGCCCATTACCACCACCCCAGGGTCTACCCCAATCTCTTCTCACAGAGATATGGAGAGGGCCTTGCTCCTTCCTGAACTTGCATTAAACTGACAATTGCCTCACCACAAGACTCTGTTGGGTTCATCATTCATTACCCTGTATGAGCATCCTCTGTAACCATGCCCTAGGACATCAGTATGACAAAATAGGGCCGGTAAGGGGAAGCTCTTTATATTTAAGGGGAAGAGGCTAAACTAACAAGCTTGAGATTATTTTAATAGCATGCACACACACACACACACACATATACACAAAATACTGCAAGAACTACACCTTCTTCAAGAATCTCACCTTACCCTTTTCCCTACTGCTCCTTAAATATGGGTATTGCCTCAAATTCCTTCTCAGTCCTTTCTTTTCATTCTAGATTCTCTCCTTGGGCTATTTCAACTTCCATACAAATTCCGATATGCATTAAATCTCAAATCTCCGTTATGAGTCTCCTTAAATTACAGTCTAAGGACATCCAGAACAGAGTTTCCACACCAAAGGCACATCTAGTTTCTCATCCACAAGCTTTTTATCTTTGTCTTTGTGTTTGTTTTTTATTCCGGAACTTCTTGACAAATATTATTCCATCATCAGAAGGAAGGTCCTGGGAAAAAGAAAGACATGAGCACTTGTGCTAGGTATTTTACAGGCATATCTTCATTTAATCCTTATAACCTCTCTATGAAGTAGGCATAATTGTTCCTTATTAGCAAATGAGGAAACCAAGACTTTGAGCAGATAATTTGTATAAGATCAAATAGCTTGGAAGAGTAGGATGACTAAGTTTTAAAGTCAGGTCTGTCTATTCTTCTAAGAAAAGAAGACTGATGCTTTCCTGTTAGGGAACCAACTTCTTATTCCCAGGCTGTGGAATACTGTGCTAACCAGGAAATAGCCAATTCTTCCTTCAGGGCATGTTATGAGATACATGAATTGTTTTCTAAGTCACAATAGCCTTTTTTTTTCTTTTCTTTTTTTTTGCTTGCTTTCTTTTCTTTTTCTTTTTTTCTTTTTCTTTTTTTTTTTTTTGAGATGAAGTCTTGCTCTGTCACCCAGGCTGGAGTGCAGTGGCTCGATCTTGGCTCACTGCAATCTCTACCTCCCAGGTTCAAGCGATTCTCCTGCCTCAGCCTCCCGAGTAGCTGGGACTACAGGCACACACTACCATGCCCAGCTAATTTTTGTATTTTTAGTAGAGATGGGGTTTCACCATGTTGGCCAGGCTGGTCTCAAACTCCTGACCTCAGGTGATCTGCACTCCTCAGCCTCCCAAAGTGCTGGGATTACAGGTGTGAGCCACTGCGCCTGCCCTTTCTTTCTTTCTTTCTTTTTTTTTTTTTTTTTTTTTTTGAGATGGAGTTTCGCTCTGTCACCCAGGCTAGAATCCAAGGTGTGAGCTCAGCTCACTGCAACCTCCACCTCCTGGGTTCAAGCGATTCTCCTGCCTCAGCTCCCGAGTAGCTGGGATTACAGATGTGCACCAGCAGGCCCAGCTAATTTTTGTATTTTTAGTAGAGACGGGGTTTCACCATGTTGGCCAGGCTAGTCTCAAACTGCTGACCTCAAGTGATCTGCCCATTTTGGCCTCCCAAAGTGCTGGGATTACAGGCGTGAGCCACTGTGCCCAGCCACAATAGCCTTTTTACCTAAGTTTTACTTTAGAATCCTGAGTAAAAGCTGTGACCTTCTAGCTTCATCTACTCTCTGACATTCCCTGAAACCTCAGCCTGTGTGGCAAGTTCTATTACAGGATTCACATTTCCTGATTTCAAAATTACTACACAGCAATGGTAAACAAGACATTGTGGTAACACCATAAATAGTGTGATGGTTTGAATGTCTGTGTCCCTTCCAGAATTCATGTTGGAAGTTATTCCCCAATGCAACAGTTTAAGAGGTGAGACCTTTAGGGGGTGATTCAGGCATGCGGGTTCTGCCCTCACGGATGGGATTAGTGCTTTATAAAAGGGACATGGGGAACTAGCCTAGGCCTTTTTTTTTTTTTTTTTTTTTTTTCGCTTCTGCTCTTCCACCATGGAAGACACAGCAGGAAGGTACCACCTTGGAAGCAGAGAGCAGCCCTCGCCAGACACCAACTCTGCTGGCACCTTGATCTTGTACTTCCCAGCCTCTAGAACTGAGCAGAAATACATTTCTGCTCTTTAATTACCCAGTCTCATGCATTTTCTTATAGACGTCTGAATGGACTAAGATCGATGGACATATAGACCAATGGAATAGATTTGAGAGTCTAGAAATAAACCCATATGTCTATGGTCAAGTGACTTTTGACAAGGGTATCAAAACCATTCAGTGGGGAAAGAATAGCCTTTCGACAAATGATGCTGGGACAACAGGATAGCCACCTGCAAAGGATGACATTGAACCCTCACCTCACACAATTTAAAGAAATTAATTCAAAATGAACCAGAAACCTAAATGTAAGAGCTGAAACTAAAAAATTTAAAAAATAAAACAGGTCTAAATCTTCTCAACCTCAGAGTTGGCAATGATACGACACTAAAAGCACAAACAAAAGAAAAAATAAATTGGACTTCATCAAAATTAAAAACTTTCATTTTTTAAAGGACCACTTTATTTATTTACTTATTATTTTGAGACAGAATCTCACCCTGTCACCCAGGCTGGAGTGCAGTGGTGAGACCTCCGCTCCAGGTTCAAGCGATTCTCCTGCCTCAGCCTCCCAAGTAGCTGGGATTACAGGCATGCACCATCACATCCGGCTTATTTTTTTATTTTTGTAGAGACAGGGTTTCATCATGTTGGCCAGGCTCATCTCCAACTCCTGGCCTCAAGTGATCCACCCACCTCAGCCTCCCAAAGTTCTGGGATTACAGGCATGAGCCACTGCGCCCGGCTAAAGGACCATTTAAAAATGTAAAAGGACAATCCCCTGGATGAGAGAAAATCATTCCAAATCAAATATCTGATAAGGGGCTTGTATCTAGAGTATACAAAGAACCCATACATTCAGTAATAAAATGATAACTAACTCAAACAATAGACAAAGGATCTGGACAGGCATTTTGCCAACAAAGATAAACAAATGGCCAAGAAACACATAAAAAAGTGCTCAACATAATTAGCCATCATAGAATTGCAAATCAAAATCGCAACAAAATATGCTACTTTACATCTACTAGGGTGGCTGGACTCAAAAATTCAGATGATACCATGGTTGTCAAGGATACGGAGAAATCAGACCCCTTGTACACTGGTGTTGGGAATGTAAAATGGTTCAGCCACTTTGGAGAACAATCCAGAAGTCCTTCCAAACATGAAACTTTGAGTTAACACATGACTTAGCAATTCCACTTCCAGGTATGCCCAAAAGAAATGAAAACATACGTCCACAAGAAAGTTGTACACGATGTTTATAACATATTATTCATAATAGCCAAAAGGTGGAAATAACCCGAGTGCCCATAAACTGATGATGGATGCAAAGGTGGTATATCTAACAATGCAATATTATTCAGCCATAAAAAGTAAGCAGTGGCCGGGCACGGTGGGTCATGCCTGTAATCCCAGCACTTTGGGAAGCTGAGGTGGGTGGATCACCCTATGTCAGGAGTTCGAGACCATCCTGGCTAACAGGGTGAAACCCCATCTCTACTAAAAATACAAAAAAAACTAGCCAGGCATGGTGGCGGGCGCACACCTGTAGTCCCAGCTACTCGGGAGGCTGAGGCAGGAGAATGGCGTGAACCTGGGAGGCGGAGCTTGCGGTGAGCCGAGATCGCACCACTGCACTCCAGCCTGGGCGACAGAGCGAGACTCCGTCTCAAAAAACAAACAAACAAACAAACAAACAAACAAAAAATTAGTCGGGCGTGGTGGCGCATGCCTGTAATCCCAGCTATTCAGGAGGCTGAGGTAGGAGAATTGCTTGAACCTGGGAGGCGGAGGTTGCGGTGAGCCGAGATCATGCCATTGCACTCCATCCAGCCTGGGCAACAATAGCGAAACTCCGTCTCAAAAAAAAAAAAAAAAAAAAAAGGAAAGTAGTATGATATATGCTACAACATAGATATATTTTGAAAACATTATGTTAAGAAAGAAGCCAGTCACAAAAGACTACATATTATGTGATTTTATTTATATGAAATATCAAGATTAGGGAAAGCTATAGAGACAAAAAATAGTTTAGTAGTTCCTTAGGACTGGGGTAATGGGGTGGAGGATGGGGATGGGATAGGAGGATGACAGCTAAAGGGTACTGTGGGGAAAAGCAAGAGAGATCAGATTGTTACTGTGTCTGTGTAGAAAGAAGTAGACATAGGAGACTCCATTTTGTTATGTACTAAGAAAAATTCTTCTGCCTTGAGATTCTGTTAATCTATGACCTTACCCCCAACCCCGTGCTCTCTGAAACATGTGCTGTGTCAACTCAGAGTTGAATGGATTAAGGGCGGTGCAAGATGTGCTTTGTTAAATAGATGCTTGAGGGCAGCATGCTCCTTAAGAGTCATCACCACTCCCTAATCTCAAGTACCCAGGGACACAAAAACTGCGGAAGGCCGCAGGGACCTCTGTCTAGGAAAGCCAGGTATTGTCCAAGGTTTCTCCCCATGTGATAGTCTGAAATATGGCCTCGTGGGAAGGGAAAGACCTGACCGTCCCCCAGCCCGACACCCGTAAAGGGTCTGTGCTGAGGAGGATTAGTAAAAGAGGAAGGAATGCCTCTTGCAGTTGAGACAAGAGGAAGGCATCTGTCTCCTGCCTGTCCCTGGGCAATGGAATGTCTCGGTATAAAACCCGATTGTATGCTCCATCTACTGAGATAGGGAAAAACCGCCTTAGGGCTGGAGGTGGGACCTGCGGGCAGCAATACTGCTTTGTAAAGCATTGAGATGTTTATGTGTATGCATATCTAAAAGCAGAGCACTTAATCCTTTACATTGTCTATGATGCAAAGACCTTTGTTCACGTGTTTGTCTGCTGACCCTCTCCCCACAATTGTCTTGTGACCCTGACACATCCCCCTCTTTGAGAAACACCCACAGATGATCAATAAATACTAAGGGAACTCAGAGGCTGGCGGGATCCTCCAAATGCTGAACGCTGGTTCCCCGGGTCCCCTTATTTCTTTCTCTGTACTTTGTCTCTGTGTCTTTTTCTTTTCCAAATCTCTCGTCCCACCTTACGAGAAACACCCACAGGTGTGTAGGGGCAACCCACCCCTACAGGGTACAGGTGATTAAAGTGGACAAGGGCAGCCACTGAGAGAGCTGGTATCCAAGCAGCTTGGAGATGAAGTCCTGGCCCCAGAAGGCACTGGTGTGGAAGCCACACATCTCCCTTGAAAGTGCATCTGGAGGTCTCACTATGTGAAGTGCTCTTGAAGGGAAGATTTCCCACCGGCCATTCACAGCAGAGCACCCCAGTGCCCCACAGATACACCCTCTCATTGTGTGTTATCCCTGCCATCATTTCTGGGGACATGGAGTTGTCTGATTAGGCTGTCTCCACATCTTAAATTTTTTGAGATGGAGTCTCGCTCTGTTGCCCAGGCTGGAGTGCAGTGCCACGATCTTGGCTCACTGCAACCACCACCTCCCAGGTTCAAGCAATTCTCCTGCCTCAGCCTCCCGAGTAGCTGGGACTACAGGTGTGCGTCATCACACCTGGCTAATTTTTGTATTTTTAGTAGAGACAGGGTTTCGCCGTGTTGGCCAAGCTCATCTCAAACTCTTGACCTCAGATGATCTGCCTGCCTTGGCCTCCCAAAGTTCTGGAATTGCAGGCATGAGCCACTGCGCCCAGCACACATCTTAAATTTCTATTCATGCTGTAATCCACTACAACCTGGTATCTGCCTTCTCTGTTCCACACAAATGAATCTTATCAAGAGCACCCACCTCCATGTTGCCAAATCCAGTGACATTTTGTGTCCTTATAGTACTTGGCTGTGACCTCTTGTTGGCACTGACTTGGTCCTTATTCCCTCGCTCCTCATACACACTTCTCTTTTGTTACCTTTCAAATGTTTCTCTCCTGATTTTCCCCCCACCCAGTCCCTCTCAACTCTCTTTGCTGGCTTTTCCTTTCCAACTCAACCTTTAATAGGGATACTTCAGGGCTAGATCCTAGACCCCTTTCTCTTCTTTATTTACATCTTTCCCTAGATAATCCCATCTGTTTTCCATGGGTTTCAATGCCCTCTAACGCTAGTGATTTTCAAAGCAAAGTCATCATACCTCCTAAGAAGTCTCTTCTTAATTTTTGTCTTACATCAAATTATTGACTTAATATTTCTATTCAAATATCTCAAAAGTGGCTGGGCACGGTGGCTCATGCTTGTAATCCCAGCACTTTGGGAGGCCAAGGCAGGCGGATCACCTGAGGTCAGGAGTTCAAGACCAGCCTGGCCAACATGGCAAAACCACGTCTCTATTAAGAATACAAAAATTAGCTGGGTGTGGTGGCACATGCCTGTAGTCCCAGCTACTTGGGAGGCTGAGGCAGGAGAATCGCTTGAACCCGGGAGGCAAAGGCTGTAGTGAGCCGAGATCACGCCACTGCACTCCAGCCTGGGCAACAGAGGGAGACTCCATCTCAAAAAAACAAAACAAAAACCCCACAAATGTTTCAAAAGTGTCTTAAGCCTAATATGTTCAAAATAGAACTCTTGATTTCTTAAAACTGTTCCATCTAACTAAATGGCGGCCCGTCTTCCCAAGTCAGAAAATTAGAATTTATTTATGATTCCTTTTTTCTCCCTATCCCACATTCAGTCTTCAAAAAGGTCTTAAGAATTCTACTCTCCCATTCCACTCCTTCCTCAATATAAATCCATGTACTTCTTTTCCCAGCTGCTATCATCTCAGTCTAGGCCATGATTTTCTTTTTCCTGGACAACTGCAACAACTTCCTAACTAGGGACCCTACTTCTATCTTTTGATATCTTCCAACTTTTTTGTGTGTGCAGTAGAAAAATTTTAATTAAAAAAATTTTTTTTGTAGGGACGGGGTTTCACCATGTTGTCCAGGTTGGTCTTGAACTCCTGGAATCAAGCAATCAGCCTGCCTCAGCCTCCCACAGTGCTCTGGGATTACAGGCGTGAGCCACTGCATCCAGCTGACATTCTTAAAATACAAATAGAACTATTTCATTTCCTGACTAAAGAATCATCAAAGGCCTCCCCTGAGAATAAAACCCAAATTCTTCATTCTGACTTGCAAGGCAAGTATAATTCCCGCCTATCTCTCTGATGTTGCCTGACTTCTTGATATAGTCTTAGGCCATTTCCCTTGAGCTTCTTAATCCTCAGCCTCTTTCATTTTTTTTTTTTTTTATTTGTTTTTGAGACAGGGTCTTGCTCTGTCACCCAGGCTGGAGTGCAGTGGCACGATCATGGCTCACTGTAGCCTTCACTGCCAGGCTCATGGGATCGTCCCACCTCAGCCTCCCAAGTAGCTGGGACTACAGGTATGCACCACCATGCTCGTTCGATTAAAATTTTTTTTTTTTTTAGTAGAAATGGGGTCTTGGTATGTTGCCCAGGCTGGTCTCGAACTCCTGAGCTCACATAATCCTCCTACCTTGGCCTCCCAGAGTGCTGAGATTACAGGCATGAGCCACTGCACCCAGCAGCCTCTCAGATTTTTATTCTTTGCACTCAACAAGCTCTTTTCTGCCTTTGGCTTTTACACATTATTTCCTTTCCCTGAAAAGCTTCTCCCCCACATTTTGTATATCCGACTCCTTTTTGTTCCTCATAGATAATAAAATGAATATCACTTCTTCAGAGAGATCTCTACTGATTATCTTTTTTTCTTCTTTCTACCTAAATTTTATCCTTGTTTTTCTTTTAAAACTTTTAAAAAGCACATATAAAATGCTTATGTGTGTGATACTATTCTATTCACAACAATCTCATAATTAGATTATATTATTATCTCCTTTTTAGATATGACACAACTGAGAAACACACAGCTAGTAAGTGGCAAAGTTGGATATGACCCAAGTAGACTAGCTTGTGCTTTTTTTTTTTGCTTTTTTTCTTTTCTTTTTTTTGAGACGGAGTCTCACTCTGTCACTTGGGCTAGAGTGCAGTGGCGGATCTCTGCTCACTCCAACCTCCAACTCCCGAATTCAAGTGATTCTCCTGCCTCAGCCTCCCGAGTAGCTGGGATTACAGGCGCCCACCACCACACCCAGCTAATTTTTGTATTTTTAGTAGAGATGGGGTTTCACCATGTTGGTCGGGCTGGTCTCGAACTCCTGACCTCAGATGATCCGCCCACCTCGGCCTCCCAAAGTACTGGGACTACAGGTGTAAGCCACCGAGCCTGGCCTTTTTTTCTTTTCTTTTGGTGAGTCTTGCTTTGTCACCAGGCTAGAGCACAGTGGCACAATCAGTACATTGCAGCCTTAATCTCTTGGGTTCAAGCCATCATACTGCCTCAGCCTCCTAAGTATTGGGGACCACAGGCATGTATTACCATGCCCAGCTAGTATTTTTTAATTTTTTGTAGCCATGAGGTCTCGCTATGTTGCCCAGGCTGGTCTTGAACTGCTGGCCTCAAGTGACCCTTCTGCCTCAGCCTCCCAAAGTGCTAGGATTACCAGTATGAGCCACCACACCCAGCCTAGGAATGCTTTAAGAAATTATTTTCTATATACCTGTCATTGATATATATGCAATACATATGGCATATACGAAAAAAGAGGGAACTGTAACTATGCAGTACTGGAACAGCATGGTGTATAGGAAAATAAATTTGGCTGGGCATGGTGGCTCACATCTGTAATCCCAGAACTTTGGGAGGCCAGGGTGGGAGGATCACTTGATCCCAGGAGTTTGAGACCAGCCTGGGCAACATAGACAGACCCTGTCTCTACAAAAATTTAAAAAATTAGCTGAGTGTGGTGGTATTCATCTGTAGTTCCAGCTACTCAGGAGGCTGAGGTGGGAGGATCGCTTGAGTCCAGGAGGTTGAGGCTGCAGGGAGTCATGATCATGCCACTCCACTCCAGCCTAAGTGATGGAGACCCTGTCTCAGAAAAAAAGAGAAAAAAAACAAGAAAATAAGTTTATCTTCTTTACGTTAAATACCAACATTTAAGGATCAAAGTTCAACTAAGCAACATCTTAAAGTGTCAGAGTGTGCAAGACATGCCTGAAATCAGACAAAAGTGACAAGTGACAAAAGTGTATCAATCAGAAAAACGGGGCAGGATAGAGCATAGGGGCTGGACCACAATGGAAATTTAGCAAAAAGGAAAGTCACAGAGGCAAACTCTGTTCTTAGTTTGATCCAAAGGAGAGGGAGGCACAGGCAATCTAGTGCGAGTCTTATGATCCCTTTGGAAGGCCTATGCTTACAGTTTGTAGAGTGAGGAACAGCCAGAGGCTTCCTGGGAAGGCAGGTTAGCTACCTGCAATTGCAGGTTCCATCTCTTTTCAGCAGTTCATCATCATTCATCAACGTGTCAGAGGTCAGATGCCACGGGAGCACACAGGAGGGGCTTCCCACCTGGAGTGCGAGATAAGGAAAGATGGGTCGGATGTTGTAGTCATTATCATCCGCTTCTCTACAAGGCTGGAATTTATGGTGGCTGCACATTTGGAATGTTTTCTCCTTTTATTTATTTATTTTTAGATCAGACAATCACAAGAGAATATTCTTTTGTTTTATTTTTAGATCAGACAATCACATGAGAATATTCTGTTGTGATCGCTGGCGTTTAGAAGGAAACTTGTCTGGTTTGTGAAGCAATGGAAAACACATCCAGACAGCCTGCTAGTGGAAACTTTGGAAGGGCACTGTCATATGCTTTTTCTCCCACGCCATCAACAAGTGTCCTTTTTTTTTTTTTTTTTTGAGATGGAGTCTCTGTTGCCTAGGCTGGAGTATAGTGGTGCCATCTGTACCCTCCACCTCCTGGATTCAAGCAATTCTCCTGCCTCAGCCTCCCAAGTAGCTGGGATCACAGGCGTGCACCACCATACCTGGCTAATTTTTGTATTTTTAGTAGAGATGGGATTTCACCATGTGGGCCAGGCTAGTCTTGAACTCCGGACCTCAAATGATCCATCCACTTCTGCCTCCCAAAGTGCTGGGATTATAGGCGTGAGCCACTGTGCCCGGTCAACAATCATCTTTTTTTTTTTTTTTTTTTTTTTTACCAGGTACACAATGATGGGAGAGTTGAGTCCTGCTTTCTAACTTAGAAAACGCATGTGTGTTCATCACCTGGTCACTGAGAAACAGCTCTGGAATAGGTGCCATGCAGAAGAAGAGAGGGAACTGGAAAGACCCACTGATCTGTGGGTCTCACAGCCTCCCGTTACACAGAAATTGCTTCTTTTCTCTCATGTTGCGTTCTTCCTCTTGATTCTCGACCCTTCTCCACTCTTTCATTTACTCCACTCTTACTTTGCTTTCACCTCCTTTTGTAACCGTTCATCATCACTCTTCATATGGATTAATGTGATTATCTTAAAAGCATGTAATATGTAGTTGCTGGGTTTGTATGAGTAATGAGTGAACCTGAAGCCAACATAATGATCCCGTTTAGTGCTCCCGAGTTAAGATTCCAGAGTTGCCTGACTTTGGACAAATCACATCTCCCTTTGCCTTTCACCCCCTGTAAACTGAGGATAATGGCTCTTACCTCAAAGCATTGTTAGGATTGGAGAGAACGCATGTTACATACTTAGAAGAATGCTTGGTATGGGTCTCAAGAACTCTTAGCTCTTATTGTTTAAAAAATGCTTATTACAGGGCATCGTTGGTATCTTATATAGGGAATTTCAAGCAGTTTTCCTTTATTGAAGACACAGAGTAAGGTGCTTTGATGGAAACTATTGGGGCAAGATATACAGTACCTAGCTAGAGGTTTCCTGGGTGCATGTATTGTGGAGATATTTTTTTTCTGAGTGGATAGCGCTCTTGTGATACGCTGGGTGAGGGCGAGCAATATTTAGCGGACTGTCCTGTGAGGATAGTAAGGTTATCTGGTGAGAGTGTTAGGTGGCCCAGGCCAGACTTGGGAGAGGCAGGGAGAGAGGGGGACGACGGAGGAGGGCGCCTTGGGGTGCGTCTTGAAAGCTTTGGGAAACCCAGCGGTCTTTTGGGGGCAGGTGGCCCAAAAAGCCTTCTGCGCGCCCAGGGGACGAGGAGGATGCGCGGACCGCGACCGCGATAGTTTTGTTTGCTTTTCTCGGGAGAAAGCGTTCCAGGCAGTTTCCTGAGCTTCGGCCCTCGACGTAGCAAAAGAGCCCGGGCGCCCACGCCGCTCTCGGGGTCTTCTACTGCCACCGGGACAAAGCCCTGGGAGGAGCTCCCGCCCCCGCGAGCCGGACAGGGCGGAGGCTCCCCCGCCGCGCGCGCCCCACCGCTTCCCAGTCCCAGACCCGTCGCCTGCGCCTCCTCCTGGCGCGCCTCACGGTGCAGCGGGCGGCGGCCCGCGCGCCCGGCGGGAGGCGCCTCGGGATGTTTCCGTCTGGTCCTTCCCTCCGCCCCCCGCGCTGACTCCATCCGCTCCCCGCCCCCTGCTCGGAGCCGCCGCCACGCGGGAAGGGAGGGAGCCGGCCCCGAGACTGCATCATTCCGCACCGGCTGCTGCAGGGCCAGAGGGAGCAGGTGGAGCGAGAGAGCGAGCCGCGAGCCGGAGCGCGCCAGACCCAGGGCGAGACTGCAGTGACGCGGCCCGGGAGACATGGCGGACGGGCGTCTCTGAATAAGCAGAATCCGGAGCCCCTCGCTACCCGCGGCCGCCGCAGCCCGGGCCATGCCGCACGGCTGCTGACCGCACGCAGGGGCCGGCCCCGAGGACACATGCGGCGGCCTTTGCCGCCTCGCCCCTGACCCTCTGCCCTGTTCTCCATGTTGCATTTCTCGTCAGTTTCTCGGGCGGTGTAGCTGCCGCTGCCACCAGAGCCGGCGGGGCATCGCGCTGCTCATTCATCCGGCCGCACTTTCTTTTCCGTTTCCACCCATCCCTTCCCATTTCCTTCTCCCTTTCCCCGCCAGCTTCGCATCCATCTCCCCCACCCCGTAACCCCCTCCTGCCTCCATCCACCGGGGCTATGGCCGCAGAAGAGGTATTGCAGACGGTGGACCATTATAAGACTGAGATAGAGAGGCTAACCAAGGAGCTCACGGAGACCACCCACGAGAAGATCCAGGCTGCCGAGTACGGGCTGGTGGTGCTGGAGGAGAAGCTGACCCTCAAACAGCAGTATGATGAACTGGAGGCTGAGTACGACAGCCTCAAACAGGAGCTGGAGCAGCTCAAAGAGGTGAGTTGCCTGTCACCTCTCCCTTTCCTGGCCCTCACTCCCCCCACCCGCAAGGCCCACTCATCATGATCAAGAAGTCATAAAGGAGGTGATTGAAAGGACTGTTTTTTCTTCTAGGGCCCTTTGTTGGTAAGAGAAGATTGAAAGAGTCCATTGTTTCCTCCCCCAAGAGAAAAATTGCCTAAGAAATGAATATATAAGCTGGAATTTGGGAGGCAATGGCTGTTTGGCCTGCGGGGGAGGGAGATTAGTAAGAGTCATCAAGTCTCAGCACTCTAAGACGACATTCAAGTGGGTTGGAATGTATAAATCAAACTTCTCAAAACCGCTGTTATCTCAAACCCAGGTTTCAGCGACAATTTCGTAGTCCACAAAAGTGATGAGGTTTGTGCCTGAGGACCCACAATTTCAGGATTTAGACTGTGTGGCACCTCAGCTTTCCTCTGGATGTAACCACTCCTTGGTGAGAGAGGGAACTCCTCACCAATCCCATTTGACAAAGGCTAGGCAATCTTCATTCTGCTTGGCTTTAGTCATTCTTGTCATTGGGCTGCAGAAGAAAAACAACTTTGCTGGGTGATCCCACTGCCTTGATTTCACCTCGGAGCGAGGCTGGGCCATGTCCAAGTCTTATGAGGTCACCCTGACTAGAAAAAATTGAACTCACCTACAAATAGTCTGAAAGAGTGGTGTATATCAAATACGTGGGTAGTGTTGCATTTCAAATGAGGCTCTTCTGGTTGAAATGATATATTTATAAAACCAGAATATCAAAAATGGGTGATGTATAATGTCTCTTTAGTTTTTTGGTATTTGGCCTCTTTTAAAGCCTGTCGGATGTATGGGAGAAAACAATGAACGTGCTTTGATTTCCTATCAGTCACTCTTAAGAACATACATATTGTTTAAGTAACTCGGTCTTTTTTATCTGATTCTTGAGGCACTATGGGTAGCAAATAACCACTTACAAATTTAAATGTAATATACACTCCTTTTCTGTGTGTCAAGTCCTTATTTTTAGGTGCATATTGACATTTAAATGTTAATTATTGTTTGGCATATAATATCAAAAATCTATTATTTATTTTATGCTGTTACAGTTAAAAGATGTGATTTATGACATACTGAATCAACTTGCCTTCCAATTTAGTGTGTAATATGGTAAGCATTTATACTTTTAGATATGTCTTATTTTTATTTGGATGCCTGTCTACCAAAAAATAAATGTACTACCTATGATTAAAAATCCCAACTAGGAATCTAATTTTTGTGTGTCAGGCTGTAAATTTCTGGTTCCTATTTTACTTACCATGTACCTGTCTGGTCTTAACAACAGCTGGACTTGTTTATATTTTCCAACTTAGATTAGGCTGACATGTTTAAATGCAGTGATGCTAAACCTTGTGAAGTGAGGAAGCAGGATGATGACTGTCATTCTCAGAGATGTTTTGATATTGTCTATACCTATCAACACTGCTTTGCCAAGATAGGGAAGTGCAAACCAGAAAGTGGTAAGCCATCACCTTCTTGATAAAGGAGATGGACTTAATTTAATGAAATGTACCTCTTACTGACTTTGCTGCTTGATTTAAACAATCCTTCTAGGGATATTTCTGTCATTGCACTTACCTTGCATAGCAAACCTTAATGCAATTGTGTTTTGCCTTTGCTACACCATGAGCTTTGCATCCCAAGTCTTTAACACAAAAGCTAGCACACAGTGGGCATGAAATATTTTATGAAAGAATCAGTTTGTACTAGAAGAAGGCACACTTTTATCAAGGGTTCACTAGTCAATATTGATTAGTGTTAGATAAATACTAAGAAAATTAGGATGTATAGGAAGTGACAGATGTTAATAAAACTACCTGTATTAGTTTCACCAGCAGTAATGAGAAAAATGTGAAAAAAACGTTTTGTAGGAATAATGTAACTGTGGTTTCTTAATACAGAATAATGCAAATACCAACTAAAATTTTTTCTATAAATATTTTAATATATATTTTGTTCTATATAGCAGGAGGTTAATAAAAATTTACCAGCATTATTTTTACTAAACGATTCTTGTTCATATATTTATTTTCAGTTGCATTTAGCATAAGTGAAATTCGAGATTCCTAAAAAACTGGTTTATACAGTTATATAAAAATGTATTTTAGGTAATAAAATTATTATAGTTGATTATTTGATAGTGAGGCCTATTATTTTTATTCTTTAAACATAGAATATACTTTAGTTGGAAATATAACTTAAATGAGTTAAATTGATTTCAAGTAACATTTCTTGTATGAAAAGTAAATCCAAAATAATTGTGCAAACTGAGGTGTTCCAACACCTCAGTTTTGAAAAATATTTTGTGAGTGTTTTGATTTTTCAAAAGAAAGTTTTGCTCATCAGGTATGTATAGTAAATGATGTTGCATTATATCTATAAAGCCAAGCATAAAATAAATCTTTGCTTATTTCTAGGATTTTTGAACAAATATGATTTATTTAAAAATAATTGAACCAGTTTATGGGAATGTCAACAGAAAACTACTGTATTAAGTCCAAATTGGACATTAGTAATTTGCAGTATAGCAACATGGCTCAGTCTTTGCAGATCATTTTGTTTTCCAGAGTCAGTACCCACCAATGTTGCTACCTTCCTTCCCAGGCTAGGTACTGCTGTGACAATAATGCAAGTCGGCAGTGTTGCCTAAAGATGTGCAAAATCAAGAAGATGAAATTCATTAAATTTTTTTCCTAGTTATTTCTTCCCTCAACTCAATTGTTTTTTGACCTGGCCTGATGTTGTTTAGTGCTCTGCATGGACTACTGTAATTCAGCTCACAGAAGAACACACTTGAAAGAATAGTACTAAGGATTTGAAAAAAGGATGACTTCTGACATCATCAAAGTGTTCTCCTTTTCATGATTCTTTGGGCAGCTGGACAGAGCAGTATGTCCACTAGAATACTTGAGTCTGGTTTTGTGATTTCACAAGTAACACTTGCTCTTCAGTGACCTGAGTGAGGGTCACCCATGCCCAGTTATGTTCAGGGCCTGGCTGATTATATGTTTGGGATGTACGTAAATCAGCACTGTGCGCCTGTCACCCAGGCCAGAATAGTGTTTGAAGAAGAGTCATAGCTCCAAAATAACCTGAAAACTAAAAATATACATATATAAAAATACCTTGGATCTAAACTTAAGAGTTTTTTTTACACCGCATGTTCTCACTCATAGATGGGAATTGAACAATGAGAACACATGGACACAGGAAGGGGAACATCACACTCTGGGGACTGTTGTGGGGTGGGGGGAGGGGGGATGGATAGCATTAGGAGATATACCTAATGCTAAATGACGAGTTAATGGGTGCAGCACACCAGCATGGCACATGTATACATATGTAACTAATCTGCACGTTGTGCACATGTACCCTAAAACTTAAAGTATAATAATAAAAAAAAAGAGTTTTTTTTTAACTTAAAAATGGTTGAAATTTAAAATGTTGTAAAGTTGAAAAAGAGCCCCTTAGAAAGGAATGATTCAGCATTACTGATGGCATTTTAAAAAGGAAATGTATCTGTGAGACAGCTTTAGAAAAGTTTTGCAGCTTGGATACCGTAAACTATGCACTAATGAGCTTCAACCCATTTTCTTGCTTATTTTGTCAACCCTGACACCAAGGATAGTTACCAGCTGCTGAAGAAGCACTTTCTGGACATTGGGCAGCTTTTTCTTTTGGAGCCAACTCTATTCTTTTTCAGGGTTATAGTTAAATCATTCAACACAAAAATATGTACTTACACAGTTTTAGAGCTTGTCACATTGGTGACCTGATGAATGCCACTTAAATTACCTAGATTCATCTTTAAGCAGAATTGTTTTCCCTTCAGATGCTTAGAAAGATTGTTAGTTTCTTTTATATCTTTAAGTTCTAAATCACAAAATCATATGGCAAGAAAAACCCCAGATTTCTTTTCCAATCTATGAATAAACATAAAGAGACAGTTAATACTTAATTGATCTATCTGAACTATGATTTTTAACTTCTCTCATTGTTTTTATTTTTTTATTTTATTTTATTTTATTTTGAGATGGAGTCTCGCACTTTCACCCAGCCTGGAGTGCGGTGGTGTGATCTCGGCTCACTGCAAGCTCCACCTCCCGGGTTCACGCCATTCTCCTGCCTCAGCCTCCGGAGTAGCTGAGACTACACGCATTCACCACCACACCTGGCTAATTTTTCGTATTTTTAGTAGAGATGGGCTTTCACCTTGTTAGCCAGGATGGTCTCGATGTTTTTAAAGAAAAAATATTTACATTTATTATCAAATTAATCTTAAAATCTAAAATACATTAAGATATGCTTTTGGAAACTGTTTACAAACAACCTCAACAAATAAACATCATCGCTTTCAATCACATTTCTTTTTTTCTGGACCCAGTTGCTCTAACTTGCACTATCCCTTTTTTTTTTTTTTTTTTTTTTGAGATGGAGTTTCACTCTTGTTGCCCAGGCTGGAGTGCAATGGTGTGATCTCGGCTCACCGCAAATTCTGCCTCTTGGGTTCAAGTGATTCTTCTGCTTCAGCCTCCCGAGTAGCTAGGATTACAGGCATGCGCCACCACACCTGGCCAGTTTTGTATTTTTAGTAGAGATAGCGTTTCTTCATGTTGGTGAGGTTGGTCTTGAACTCCCGACCTCAGGTGATCCGCCTGCCTCAGCCTCCCAAAGTGCTGGGATTACAGGCGTGAGCCCCCACGCCCAGCCCCTTCTTTTTATTTGAAATCAAGATTTCGTCTCTGGCGAAGTTATTTCTCAGATATAACTTAGCAAGAATTTATCATCTTTTATCACATTCCCCATGTTTATGTGAACATGTATGACAGCGATGGTTTGAAGGTTTCTTCAGAACTTTCTGCTTGCAAATATTTTGCCCTATCATCCCCTTAAATATAGTTGTACTCATGGATATTGCTTTCCAAATTTGAAAATACGGTAATTAATTACTTGCATGTTGAAATATACATAAAGGACTTGCCCACACATAAGATTCCACCTGTAATTATGGCTTTGAGGAGAGGAGGGCATGAAGGGCTGCATAGTCTTAGTATTAAATAATTCATTACGCTAAAGGAGAATGCACGTAAAGTCAAGTGGCAGGAGATGCAATTGTGAAAGGGCCATGGCCACATTTTGTCTTGGGGATGTGGAGCCATTGAAAATAAATGAAACAGTCACTGTGTTTAATCTCACCAGTCTTCAAAACAATTCAGAGGGCTTACTGCTCATTTTTACTGATAAGAAGATAATAAAAATAATAAAGCATTGACTTAGGTACAAGGCTCCATTTAGAACTAGGTTCTTTACAAGCCTCACCTCTAATTCATGCAGCAATCCTTACTCAAGGTAGGTGTTTCTTGCATTATACAGAAGAGGAAACTGGGTCTTAGAGAGGTTTAGGTCTCTTCCCAGGGCCACAAAACTAAACGATGAAACTTGGAAGAAGCCCACTTTTTTTTCACTGCATCATACTACCTTGAATATGAAATATCTCTGCCAAGTCTACAAGTGCAGTATAGAAGGTTATGGTGATGGTCATAGTGGGTGGATTGAGGCTGTGTGGTGGGACAGACAGTGGCAGTAGGGATCGTGAGGAGGGGGCACGTCTAAGAGCTATTTGGGAGGTAGGGTGGAACAGGCATTGGATGTTACTATATGTGGAAAGTGAGGAAGACAGTGGAGCTGAGAATCTTCTCAGGCTGGATAGGAGGTGGTTCTATTTACAAAGGAAGGTATTATGGGGCAGAGCAGTTTTAGAGGGTGAAATTGATGCTCAAGTTACATGAGTTTCTGTTGTTTTTGACACAGGGTTTCTCTCTGTCACCCAGGCTGGAGTGCAGTGGTGCTGTTACAGCTCACCGCAACCTTAACTAACCATCCTGGCTCAAGTGATCCTCCCATCTCAGCCTCCCAAGGAGCTGGGAATACAGACCCATGCCACCATGCCTGGCTAATTTTTTTTTGAGACTGAGTCTCCCTCTGTTTCCCCAGCTGGAGTGCAGTGGCATGATCTCAGCCCACTGCAACCTTTGCCTCCTGGGTTCAAGTGATTCTCCTGCCTCAGCCTCCCAAGTAACTGGGACTACAGGAGCATACCACCATGCTTGGGTAATTTTTTTTTTTTTTTTTGAGCTGGAATCTCACTCTATCACCCAGGCTGGAGTGCAGTGGTCTGATCTCAGCTCACTGCAACCTCCACCTCCCAGGTTCAAGCGATTCTCCTGCCTCAGCCTCCTGAATAGGTGGGACTACAGGTGCCTGCCACCATGCCTGAATAATTTTTTTTTTTCCAAGACAGAATCTCGCTCTGTCGCCTAGGCTGGAGTGCAGTGGCGCAATCTCGGCTTACTGCAACCTCTGCCTCCCGGGTTCAAGTGATTCTCCTGCGTCAGCCACCTGTAGATGGGATTATAGGCGCGCGCCACCACGCCTGGCTAGTTTTTGTATTTTTTTTAGTAGAGACAGGGTTTCACCATGTTGGCCAGAGTGGTCTTGATCTTCTGACCTCGTGATCCACCCACCTTGGCCTCCGAAAGTGCTGGGATTATAGGCATGAGCCACCGCGCCCAGCCTAATTTTTGTACTTTTAGTAGAGAGAAGATTTCAAACATGTTGCCCAGGCTGGTCTGAAATTCCTGAGCTCGAGCGATCTGCCTGCCTTGCCCTCGTAAAGTGTGGAGATTACAGGCATGAGCCATTGTGCCCAGCCACATAAGTCCTTTTAATTCATGTTTTCTTTGCTGGGGAAGCGTACATTGCATGATGGATTCAGATCCTCAACTTTCTTTTTTTTCTTTTTTTGAGATGGGGTCTCATTTTGTCACCTAGGCTGGAGTACAGTGGTGTGATCGTGGCTTACTGCAGCCTTGACCTCCTGGGCTCAAGCAATCCTCATGCCTCAGCCCCCAAGTAGCTGGGACTACAGGTGCACACCGCCATGCCTGACTAATTTTTGTATTTTTTTTGTAGACACAGGGTTTTGCCATGTAAGCCAGGTTGGTCTAGAACTCTTGAGCTAAGGACAGTCCGCCTGTTTTGGCCTCCCAAAGTGCTAGGATTACAGGCTAACTTTCAATTTAATAAAAAAAATTAATTTGTGCAATTGGTTGTTATTTTATAGAAGCCTAATTTCTAGAATATGGGATATAAACAATTTAATAATGTTTTCACCAGTTAGTTTGATTGCTTTCTAAATTAGGAAAAATGAAAACAAATAAACGATGGGCAAAAAAGCTGACTGGGGACAGTAAGGTCTAAGAAGGCAGCCTAAGTGGAAAATTAGCCCTTACTCACCATTTAGGGTTATGGGGGCTGGGAGCAACAGTCCTCACTGCTCACTGACTAATCTTTATCAATCTTATTTAATCTTTATTGAAGATGCATTAGCATTTTTAATTTAAGTGGGTTTTTTTCCTCTTTTCTTTTGGTGGGGGGTGTGGGCGGCGGGGGAGTTTCAATATGTTGACCAGGCTGGTCTTGAACTCCTGGCCTCAAGCGATTCTCCCTCCTCAGCCTCCCAAAGTGCTGGGATTACAGGCATGAGCCATTGCACCCAGCCTTTTCTATTTTTCATTTCAAGAGTTTGCTTTTTAAGAATTAAAATTGTGTAATTATGACAGTTTTTATTGCAGTACTCCAAGCTAGAGAAAAGCATATATAAATTAATAGTTTTCCCTTCTTCTCCCACAGTTCTGTCTCTGTTGTTAACACTTTGCTGAGTATTCTTCTGTACTTGTTTTAAATGTCTTTAAACATATAGGCAGGGTTTTTGTGTGTGTGGTGTTTTTGGTTTTTTTTTTTTTGCTGTTTTTCTTCCTTTGTTTTTATAAAAACAGGATCTTGCAGCCTGGTGTTTTAAATTTAGTAGTATGTCCTTTCAAAAGGCAGGTATTTACGAGACAAAGCTGCATTTTTAAAGCACTGGTGAAGTGTGAAGAAAATGAGACCGATTAGGGAAGAAAACCCGAGAAGCTCAGAGTTTGGGTGACCCTGGGGATGTGGGAAGGTGGTGAAAATGGTACCCTGAGGGTAGCATGGATGGTAAGTGAAAGAGGAAAAGGTGTAGGTTTGCATAAAAGAAACTGATGGAATTTGGATGCCCAATAGCAGACCCAGGGGAATGATACCAGGGGAAAAGATGGACAGTTTTGTGGGTAAATTAGCAGTGATTTTGATTCCTTGTCTTGTTAGCTGCTGATGGAGATACGTGTATCAGCATAATACCTGGCTAGTTTCCATGGCCGGCAAGAGCCAGTCCTGCAGTGTGACCACATCCTGTCCATTCTGGGTCTTGGTGGCAAGCCAGGATGATTCAGGCAGTTGGGCTTTATTACGTTATCCCTTCTTTGCCCTCTGAAAGCTGAGTTTTGAAATAGTTAGGATCTTATACAACATCTCAGATTCAGCATGCTGTGCAGGAGGTGGGGAGAAAAGGGTACAAAAGAGGAAAATGTTCAGTGAAGGTGTTATTACAATGGAGGGGAATATGAAAGTGGAAATTGATACCTTTTCCTCTTGGGATTTAATTAAGTCTATAAAATTAAGGTGTTGCAATACATAATGTCTATGATTTTTTTTTACCAGCTCTAAATCTCTGAGATGGCTGTGTTTTAGAGCTGCATGTTCTGCTTATTTACTGCCTGTCCTTTACATTTCAAATTCATTCAATATTTTTCCAAAGTACAGAATAGTTTTGCCTAGTTGCAGTAATTTTCACCTAGACTTCAGGGATCTTCCATCAACTCTTTTATGTATTTTTTCTCCTTTGTTTTTCCACTCTGGTCACTCAGTTCTAGCCAAGATAGTCCACCTTATTTTAGCACTTGTACTATGTCTCTGTCTCTGTCTGTCTGTCTGTCTGTCTGTCTCTCTCTCTCTCTCTCTCTCTCTCTCTTTCTCTCTCTCTCTCTCTCTATATATATATATATATATGTAATTTTGAGATGGAGTCTCACTCTGTCGCTCTGACTGAAGTACAGTGGTGCGATTACAGCCCACTGCAGCCTTGACCTCACAGGTTCAAGTAATCCTCCCACCTCAGCCTCCAGAGTAGCTGGGACCACAGGTGCACACCACTATGCTGGCTATTTTTTTTTTTTTTAACCTGATTTTGTTTTTACTGGAGGCTCAGGTGGCCCAACTAATTTTTAGAAATTATTATTTGCAGAGATGAGGTTTTGTTATGTTGCTCAGGCTGGTCTTGAACTTCTGGGCTCAAGTGATTCTCCCACCTCAGCCTCCCAAAGTGTTGGGATTGTAGGTGTGAACTACTGTGCCTGGCCTTCTACATTTTTTTTTTAACCATTTCATAGTTCCCTTTTTCTTTGAACACTTGGTCCAAACTCACTTTTCTTCTGGATTCATATTTTCTGATCTCACCTATTATGTTATAGAACTGATATGTTACGTTTGTTTTCATTGATGCGTCTGTACTTGGCTTCAGAGAGCAGAACAAGGCCCTGTGAGTCACTGGGAGCCAGATTTTGGATCAAAATAAATCACTTTCTGACAAGTGTAGTTGTCTAGTAATGGAATGAGGCAGTCTTCTTAGGAAGTAATGAATTCCCTGTCACCAAAAGGGAGAAGCTAGTGAGCCACTTGCTGAGAATACTCTATGGGGAGTTGTCCTTAGGAAGGGGTATATCTAGAATGATCTCTAAGGTTCATTCTTATTCGGATTTCTTTGATTTTTATCATTCCAGGTGTTCCAAATAATTTGATAAGTTTATGTTTTTTATACTTTTCCCACCACCAGAGCAGTGTTTCCAACATGGTTAAATTGTTCTGCTTTAATGTTTGGCATTTCACACTATTTGATGACTGTAAACATTTGGAATGTTTTCACAGTGTCTCAAAACTTTATTTTGATTTATGTTTTGCTTTATTTTCAGAAGAAAACTAATGGGTAATATAAAGCTTTAAGATGAGTGTATCTCTAAATTTGGAGAGCTTTCAGTGAAACTGTACATTTTGAAGCTACGTGGTTGCATTGAGGGAGGTCTACAGCCTCCAGAATCTTCTTTTTCACACACACGGGCACATGTGCATGTGCATGACTTTATATTTTGTCATTTACGCTTAGTCATATATATATATATATACACAAATATATATACACACACACACACACACACACACATATATATATATATATATATATATTTTTTTTTAAGACCATATTTCGCTCTCGTTGTCCAGGCTGGAGTGCAATGGCATGATCTCAGCTCACCGCAACCTCCACCTCCCAGTTTCAAGCAATTCTCCTGCCTCAGGCTCCCGAGTAGCTGGGATTACAGGCATGCACCACCATGCCCAGCTAATTTTGTATTTTTAGTAGAGACAGGGTTTCTCCATGTTGGTCAGGCTGGTCGCGAACTCCTGACCTCAGGTGATCTGCTCGCCTCGGCCTCCCAAAGTGCTGGGATTACAGGCGTGAGCCATCGCACCGGCCCGCTTAGTCCAATATTTTATTTTATTTTATTTTATTTTATTTATTTTTTTTGAGATGGAGTCTCACTCTGTCGCCCAGGCTGGAGTGCAGTGGCGCGAACTCGGCTCACTGCAAGCTCCGCTTCCCTGGGTTCATGCCATTCTCCTGTCTCAGCCTCCCAAGTAGCTGGGACTACAGGTGCCCGCCACTACGCCTGGCCAATTTTTGTATTTTTAGTACAGATGGGGTTTCACCGTGTTAGCCAGGATGGTCTCGATCTCTTGACCTTGTGATCCGCCCGCCTCGGCCTCCCAAAGTGCTGGGATTACAGGTGTGAGCCACCGAGCCTGGCCTAGTCCAATATTTTATAATCTGCATCGTCAACTAGTCAGGCCCCAGAATCTGTGGGTTCAGCATCCTTGGATTCTGCATCCTTGGATTGAAAATATTTGGAAAAAAAATTGCATCGGTACTAAACGTATACAGGCTTTTTTTGGTCATTGTTCCCTGAATAATTCAGCATAACAGCTATTTACATAGCATTTACATCGTATTAGGTATTATAAGTAATCTAGAGATGATTTAATGTATACTGGAGGATGTGTGTAGGTTACATGCAAATACTACACTATTTTATCTCAGAGACTTGAGCATCTGTGGATTTTGGTATCTGCAGGGGGTCCTGGAACCCCCACACCCTCACCCAGACTGAGGGATGACTGTATTTACGTTATCTACCACTCTGATGTTTTCTTTTTGCTTTAGATTGCCCATTACCTCTTCATCTGTTTCATTTATTCATTCAAAAATTTGTATTGAGTGGCTACTGTGTCGGGCATGGTGCCACTTGCTGGAGATACAGCGTTGAACAAGACAGACCCAATGGGGCTGCCTGGGTGGAGCTTATGTTTCAGACTGGGAAGAGAGTCAACGAACATCCACACATATTTCAGTTGTGAGAGGTGCCATGAGGGAAGAGACAGACTGGCTGGGGAAAGCGTGATCAGGCAGTCTTCCCCAGGAGGTGAGACTTGAGCCCAGACCTGAATGATGACAAGGAGCCAGTCATGTGGAGACTGGGGAATGTGATTTTTAAGAAGAGGACAAGTGCCAAGATCTGCGAACTCTGTTGTAGTTGTTAGGGGAAGGGATGGGTTACCATGCTCTGTAAAAATGACCATTCATATTTGAAATATGACCATTCTGTAACACAGTGTATTGCCTACTGGATTTTTCTAATGAGGTATTGGGTCTCAACATTGGAAATGTTTGAGCAGACCTTGGATATCTCCCTGAGGTCTTCTCTGAGAAGAGGTGGGTAGGAACTAGTGACTTTCAATACAGACTGTATGTTAGAATCACCTGGGTGATTTATAAAACTACTGCTGCCTGGACCCCACTCCGGGAGAGTTAAATCACTCATTGGAAGTGGAGCCTGGCTTCAGCATGTGAATCCCACTTCCCTTAGAGATGCAGCCAGGGTAAAGAACCCCTCTTCTATATTTCCAACTTGAGGACTAAATGACCCCATGGGCGTAGAAGTGTTTAGTAAGAAAATCTAGTTCCGGGTGCAGTGGCTCATGCCTGTAATGCCAGCACTTAGGGAGACCAAGGCAGATGGATCATATGAGGCCAGGAGTTTGAGACCAGCCTGACCAACGTGGCGAAACCCCATCTCTATTAAAAATACAGAATTAGCTGGGCATGCTGGCATGCGCCTGTAGTCCCAGCTATTCGGGAGACTGAGGCATGAGAATTGCTTGAACCCAGGAGGTGGAGGTTGCAGTGAGCTGAGATCGTGACACTTCACTCCAGCTTGGGCGACAGAACAAGACTCTGTCTCAAAACAAAACAAAACAAAAAACTGGGAAGTTATGAGCTAATACATAAACCTTCATTGCACAGTCTTTTAAAATTTGTTGTTTCTACTTTCTGAAAATGAAAATATTAAATCCTTCCTGAAAACAGAAAATATCAAAAACTTAACTGCATTAGACAGAGATATATGTTAACTTTGAGTGCATTTAATTTTGTATTCTTGAGTACTGTTTAAAGTGTCTTTTAAAAGTTCTCTCTTATTGTGTCTATTTATTTTATTCTGTTTGCAGTTTTTATGCCAACTTTACACATTTGTAAATAGAATATTTAAAAAGAATTTTTTTTGAGGGATTGATCTCTAACTTCTTGGTGACTTATAGTTGTTCTTTTGGTTGTACATCTTTACTGTTTTCCAACATTTTAAGGAGAAAAAGCACTACTCTCAAATGTAATATTTAACTGCTGTGTTTCTATCTTTAAATATAGAATTGAAAATGAGAACCTGTTTATATTTATGGGAGCAATAGCAATATGTGTACAATAACAGTAGCAATTTCCTTAAGAATGTTCTGTTGCAGTTTGGCGTGGGTCTGTGATAGAAGGTTCAGAATGATGGGTCTTTGTTTTTCTCTTGCATACTGCAGAGTAATGTGGAATCAAATACCACTATTGAAGAGCTCTTAGTCATCAATTTTTGAAACTGAAAGAGGTTTATATTGTAAGAAGGATGGGCCCTGTTGATAAGCCTCACTGATTGCTACTTGCTAGATGGTTTTAGGAGATATCTTGAAGTTGACCTTGTGTGAGGTTACTGGATGGAAACAGCATGAGTTTAATCTTGTACATGACTTCTTTTGTTGAGCTGGAGATACTATTGTCTTGCAGATTATCTCTTTGGCACGCATGACCATTTTTTTTTTGTCTTTTAAATCACAAACTGGCTTTCTTTCTGCTAAGGTTGGTGTGCTTAGATTCTTTAAGCTCCAAATCTCAAGAAAATATAGGAAGGAAAATCAACCATTAGAGAGAGAGAGAGAGAGAGAGAGAGAGAAAAAAAAAAGGAAAAAATATAATGTGCTCCAAACTGATTATAAATAGCTTTTGAATTGTTGGCTCCATAGAATTTTTTTTTTTTTTTTTTGAGACGGAGTCTCGCGCTATTGCCCAGGCTGGAGTGCAGTGGCGTGATCTCAGCTCACTGCAGCCACCGCCTCCTGGGTTCAAGTGATTCTCCTGCCTCAGCCTCCCGAGTAGCTGGGATTACAGGCGTGTGCCACCATGCCTGGCTAAGTTTTTGTATCTTTAGTAGAGACGGGGTTTCACCATGTTGGCCAGCCTGGTCTTGAACCTCTGACCTCATGATCCACCTGTCTCAGAGTGCTGGGAGTACAGGCGTGAGCCACAGCACCTGGCGTCCATAGATAATTTTAAAAATTCATACCAGATCTTAATTAATGTTGGCATTAAAAACTAATGGTGGCTCATGCCTGTAATCCCAGAATTTTGGGAGGCCAAGGTGGGTGGATCACTTGAGGTCAGGAGTTCAAGACCAGCCTGGCCAACATGGTGAAACCCTCTCTCTACTAAAAATATAAAAATTAGCTGGATGTGATCATGCGTGTCTGTAATCCCAGCTACTTGGGAGGCTGAGGCAGGAGAAACTCTTGAACCTGGGAGGCGGAGGTTGCAGTGAGCTAAGATCACTCCATTGCACTCCAGCCTGGGCGAGAGTCTTGTTCTGTCTCCAAAAATAAAAATAAAAATAAAAATAAAAATAAAAATAAAAGCGCTGAGGTGGAAGGATGGCTTGAGCCCAGGAGGCAGAGACTGCAGACAGCCAAGATCGCAACACTGCACTCCAGCCTGGGCAACAGAACAAGACTCTATCTCAAACAAACAAACAAACAAAGAAAACCTACGGTTAATGATATAGTGATCTGAACAACAGAAGATCTCAGTTTGTCAAATTTTTTTTTTTTTTTTTTTGAGACAGGGTCTCACTCTCTTGCCCAGGCTGGAGTGCAATGGTGCAATCTCGGCTCACTGCAGCTTTGACTTCCCAGGCTCAAGTGATCCTCCTGCCTCAGCCTCCTGAGTAGCTGGGACTACAGGTGTGAGTCACCACACCCAGCTAATTTTTTTGTATTTTTTGTAGAGACAGTGTCTCACAATGTTGTGCAGGCTCGTCTCAAACTGTTGGACTCAAGACATCTACCTGCCTCAGCCTCCAAAGGTGCTGGGATTACAGGTGTGTACCACTGTACCCAGCCTCAGTTTGTTAATATTTTACAATAATTTAGAAGTAGAACCCTTTCTTAAGGCTGGGCGCGCTGGCTCACACCTGTAATCCCAGCACTTTGGGAGGCCGAGGTGGGTGGATCACGAGGTCAGGAAATCGAGACCATCCTAACACAGATCGAGACCATCCTAACACAGATCGAGACCATCCTGACTAACATGGTGAAACCCCCGTCTCTATGAAAAATACAAAAAATTAGCCGGGCTTGGTGGTGGGCGCCTGTAGTCCCAGCTACTCAGGAGGCTGAGGCAGGAGAATGGTGTGAACCTGGGAGGCGGAGCTTGCAGTGAGCTGAGATCGCGCCACTGCAGTCCAGCCTGGGCGACAGAGCAAGACTCCGTTTCAAAAAAAAAAAAAAACAAATAACAAAAAAAGAAGTAGAACCCTTTCTTAAGAGCATTCTCAGGTCTTCTATCTTAATTACTGTAGTTATTTCCAGTCATGTTTTATAATCAGGTGCTATTTTTCATTGTGGCATAATAAGTAATATATTTTTGTAAATCATGTTGAAGTGCTTGAGACAATACAAGCAATTATTTGCTAAAATTTAGACCAGGGTCTCAAAACAACAATTACATTTTTAGATAATGGTCACAGTAAGTCTTTTCAGAAAAAAGCAACGAAGAAAGCTCTAGACCAATGAGATTTTAGTCATCATTAATCAATGCCAAGCGAAAAAATCTTAAGATGTATTTAAATTTGTGATGCCAGTGTGATTCAGAAATTTGAAAAATGGATTTCAAAGTAATGCTGTGAGCAGATAGGTCATTGTATAAACATAACTAATGGTTCATTCATTCATTCCTACAATAATGATTCAGTGTCAGATTTGGGTGTTGAAAATACAGCAGAGAACAAACACAACAGAAGGTCCATATTTGCGGAGCCTACATTTTGTGGGGGAAGAGAGATGATAAACAAAATGAATGAGTTAAGTAGATAGCACGTTAGATCATCCAAAATGCTATGGGGGGAAAAAACCCTGGGAATAGGGAGATGGCATGTGAAGTGGAAGAAGGTTATGATTTTCAATAGAGTGATCAGAGAAAGCCTCATTGAGAAGACACACTAAGGAGGCCATGTGGCTGGAGGGGACTGAGTTAGGGGGTGAATAGTAGGTGAGACCAGAGGGGGCCACATGATGTAGCAGCTTCTAGATTATCAGGACTTTGGCTTTTGCTCTGAGTGAGATGGGAAACTTTCAGAGAGCTTTGAGCAGAAAAGTCACAATGTTCTGCACTTTTTCCTTCATTGAGATAACCTCTGCATACATTCAAGCACGACTAAGACCCCCTTCAGGGAAAAGAAGTTTTCATTAACTCAGTATCCCATGAGGTATATGGCATTCTCTTCCTTCCCACCATAGCAGGTGTTTAATAGGTGGTTATGGTATTGCACTGATTTAGGCTGGGAAAAAATTAAAGATGAAGTTATTAAGACAGCCA